>NC_000006.12:104010183-104161699 GCF_000001405.40 Homo sapiens
CACAACTGCCTGTAATACACCCTTTCCCTTGGTCTTCCTTCTTCCTTTAAGGGAAGTTTCACACTGACCTTTTGCATTTTTGGCCGTAGAGTTTCAACACTATCCTTGTTTTACATATGAAATATCACAACACTTCCAGCGCTCCACATTTTTGCAGCAACAAAAGAAAACAATATCAGAACATTTTTGCTGGGTCTGTAATTAGTAGAAATGGCCCTCAAATATGGCCATATTCTATTCCCCAGAACCGTGCATATGTGACCCTACATGGCAAAACGAGCTATACTGCATGTAATTAAACTAAGAATATTGAAATAGGATGATTAGCCACATTATCCGGGGGGACCCAATGTCATCATAATAGTCCTTATGAGGAAAAAAGGAAGGCAAGAAAGTCAAAGTCAGAAAAGATGTGAAGCCCTAATCAGAGACCAGAGAGAGAGAGCTTTAAAGATGCTACACAGCTGGCTTTGTGGTGCAAGGAACCACAAGCCAAGAAATGCAGGCAGTGCAAGGGGCCATAAGCCAAGAAATAAAGGCAGCCTGTAGAAGCTGGAAACAGCAGGGTAATAGATTCATCATAGCGTCTCTAGAGGGAACTCTGGGTTTTATCCCAGTAACACTCATTTCAAACTTCTGACCTCCAGACTTTAAGGTAATAAATTTGTATTGCTTTTTAAGTTACCAAATTTGTGTTATTATAGCAACAATAGAAAACTAATCCAAAGCTACTTGCTCTTCTCAGTAGTTGGACTCATTTGTAAATTGAATTTTGACCTAACTACTAGTTCCTGAAAGACCTTATCAAGCTGTGTATATTTTGAAATTTCCCACAATGATCTAATCACCAAGCTAGTTATTGAGGTAAAACAAATTTAAATACATCTGCTTTGTATCACAATGCAAACTGCATTGCATTTACATTCTGGTTAATCTATTGCTTCATAATTGATGTCCTCAGGTAATCACAATGAGCTGGCTTGTAAGAGATTTCTAGATAATGTTTAAAGTTGTTTGCAATCCTGAGATTACATGATTATATTGCAAAAACAAATTAGAAATCACCCAAACATATCAATTTATATCTCTTTACCTGGAGTGTACTCTGTATGACTATGATTAGCAGAATATAACATCTTAAATCTGACTGTCTAATGTACTTCTAGGTTTCTCTGAATTACCAGTTATTGTTATCTGGGTGTTTCTACAGTTGGAGCTATCTATTTTTTAGAATTCTTTCTGCCCTATTTACTTATGCAGAACTTGAGAGCAGCAATTCCCCCAACCCACCCGCCACCCATTATTAAATTATGCTCTATGAAACACACCCCTATTCCCCCATGGAAACACTCTATTTCTAGATTTCTTAAAAACTGTGAATGGAAAGTATACAATGTGTAAATAACAGAGTTCTTCACTGATAATTATGGTGACATCCATGAAGGGAAATAACTCAATAGCTTTCTTTGAAGATGTAATGAGTCAAAGAGGAAAAGAGTTGTCCAGATCAGGAAATAGGAAGGGAGAAAAATAAAAAATTTAAAAACAGGAAGTATACATGAATAAATAATCCAAAGTGTCTTTTCAGCGTCATGGTACTTTCAGGGTATTTATGCAGCCAAGTATTCCAGAAGCACAGGATTTAGATCAGATGGACCTAAGAGATGAAATTGGAGAAGTAAAGAGGACCAAATCAGAAATACTCTTGTATGTCAATGCTAAGGAATTTGGACTTTATCTTACAGGACACAGGAAGCCAATTGAGAACTTTAAATGGAGAAATAACATAGCTGCTTTTAAACACTTAGGAATCTATATGGGTGATAGATTTGAATGAGATGGTTATTTGGTTAGGAATTCAGCTTAGAAGCTGTTAACACATTCTTGTTGAAATAATGAGGGTCAATTGTCAAAGACATGGAGGACAGTGACATTTATTAATAGAATATGAAATAATGAGGGTCGATTGTGAAGGACATGGAGGACAGCGACATTTATTAATAGAATATGAAAGTGAAGTTGATGAAGACTCCCTCTCTTCACCACTACAATCACCAACACTAAGTTTTAATATTTAGTAGTCATGAGAGTCACCAAACAGGAGCCATAAAAGATGATAAATTTCATTTTAAATATATAAAGCCCTCTGAATGCTGAGACTAAGAGGAGATGTCAAATGAGCCATTGACAAAGCTTGGTTGAAAATATATTTGGAAAATTGTCAGTACATAGATGGCAAGAGCATTTGGTTGTTGGAGACTTGATTCTCCAGTTTCACTAAAGACCTGTAGGAACCGGAAACATTATTTAATCTCCCTGAGCCCAAGTTTTTTTTTTTTATTTGTAAAATGAATATTATAATCTAATATCTCATAAAATATTGTATAAGTTTTTATCTATATAAAGCACTTAGTACAATACCCATCCACACAGAAAACTTGATAAAAAGTAGCCAATTTAGATGAAGTCATGATGCAGAATGATACTACATACGATGATATCAAAAGATGAAAAGAATAAAGCCATGAGGTAACATTAATATTTAAATAGTGGACAAACAAGAAACTAATAAGTGTATAAAAGGACAGAGAGAGAGATAAGAAAATCATGGGAATGTAATGTTATGGAAATTGTAGGGCCATCAATGTTTCTTGGCATCCATCATTGACCAGGGAAGGATACAACCTGTGACAAAGGATTGATCAGTTGGATTTTCTCTCTCAAGTCTTTGAATTTTAGCACTATGATTCAAAAACAGAAAATTTTAATTCAATACTTATTCATTCTATAAGCAGTAGCCTGAAAAAATGTTGGACTGCCCCAAATTTCTGAGTTTACTTCCCATGTCTTCCAATTCTTGTTGTGATATCTTTCCCTTACGAATTGGTACATGTTTCTTGCAAACAAACAAACAAAAATCCTTATTGATATTTTAGAAATAAGAGAATAGCTAGCTTCATTTGGAGATAAAATAAGAACTGATACATCTCCATTAGATTTGGAAATCAGAAGGAGCTGAAACCTGATTGCAGTCGATCATGAAGAGTATGAGAAGTCTGGTAGTGGAGACTGTGAATGTGGGTTTCTCTTTCTAAAGAAGGTATGAGAAGAATATGACAAAAATAAGTTGTGTTAGAGGGAGACTTTTGAGTTTGAATTGTTTCATTAGATGTGAGAGGCATAAGCATGTTTATAATCTAGGAGAAACCAATGGAAAAACATATATTGAAGCTACAAGAGAAAGAGGATTGATGATGAGAACAAGACAGGAAAGAGGCAGGTTAAGAGGGCATAAAATGTGTGTATGGAAGAGATTAGTACTGAACAGGCAGAGGGCACTGTGTCTTATAGACTGGATACATTTTAAGGTGTTATGAGTAGGGAAGCTAAGGAAAATAACCTGCTGACCTTAGTTTTCTCCTTAAAGCAGGCAGGAAGATCTACAATTGAGAATAAAGGTGCATGGGTAAAATGTAGGTTTGAAAACTACAATAGAGAAAGTTAGACTGACTTTTAACGAGAAAAGAGGCAAATGAATAAAGACAAAAGAATTAATCAAATGTGCTAACAGTGGTGTTGACATTGAGACCATGAATATGTGCAACTTTTCGGCTGCCCAGATACAGGAGCAGAAAAATGCAGATTTTTTAACTAGAAGTTGGAATTTGTGACTAGATTGTTGTGTTCAAAACAAGGTGCAAGATAAAACCAATGAATTGAAGTAGAAGGGGTTTCAGGGTGAAAGAGAAGAAAAATGAGGAAAAGAGGGTGTGATGGGGAAGGATTTAGAACAGTAGCTGCTGCTGGTTATCTGGAAGAAAATTGAGGGAGCTTGAGGTGATTTAACATGATCATCATCTTTCAGCTTGAATGATATGTATAGTGGAATGAGGATCTGTGAAATCTGAAAACATAGGTGGTTATAAAAAAGTGAACTATGATCTGGAATTAACATTACAGAAGCTGCTAATGAAGATTCAATCCAAAATGAGACACAGAGAACAGGAAAGACAGAGGTCCTTGGATTAAGTAGAGCCAAAAATGTAAAGACTAAATTATTAAATGGATTCAAATCCTTTAAGATTATGGCAGGACTTTGAATGAAGGAAAAGAAGCAAATGTCTATACATGAGAAAGTCTGAATAGCTGACAGGATGATTGATTTAAAAAGTCACACATTAGTGCAGCTACATGAGAAGAACCACAGGGATGAAAAAGTATTCTTACATAAGACTGGCTGAATAAAGGGTTAGAAAGCAGCAGAAGGAAACTAAGCGAATGCAAACCCATCCCTCTGAATCTATTGACAATAGGGATAAAATCAAAGAAGTGAAGAAAAAATAGACACATTTCTACATTTGATTAGATGAAAATTACATGCAAATTAAGTAGGTTACATCATCATTCAACCCAATATAGCTGTTAGTCATCTGGGATATTTTAGTTTGGGTTTTTTTTTTTTTTTTTTGGTGTGCGTGATTATTCACAATCTGAAAATCATAATTCTTAGCTAACTTCCTCATTCTCCCCAAGATTTTTCTCATGGGCAAAAGTTTGGCAAGAATCTTATCACAATATTGATTCCTCTGGCCTAATAGAAGGTCAGAACTCAGCTACATGAGAAGAATCACAGAAGAAAAAGTATTCTTACATAAGACTGGAAGAATAAAGGGGTAGAAAGCAGCAGAAGGAAGCTAAGGAAATACAAACTCATGCCTCTGAATCTACTGACAATAAGGGATAAAATCAAAGAAGTGAGGAACAGAATTTTCTTGCACATTGCCAATCTATGACATGAGAATGATCTGAGGTGTCTTGCCCCTTAGCATTTTTTTTGGAAATCACATTTTGATTGGTTTACTGCAGATGGTTTTAGGATTTGCTTATGGCTAAAACTTTTACTCTCAAAATACAACTATTGTACAAAGCATAAAAAATACACACAGGATAGACAATATTTGGAGCTATAGCTTTAAGATGAATAATCACTTAATGGCTATGACTTATGTATGGTGACTAAAATACATAATATAATGACAGTAACAGTAGAAAATTTAGGTTTAAAAATAAGAAATATATACAATTTTTTGATAAAAGTATAAGGTATTATTTTCAAATATTTTCATCCTTATATAAAGTATTGGCTCCTAATTGGGACAGAATTCGTTGAAACAGAAGCAATTTTACAACATAAGCCCACCCAATTCTTCCAGGAAGATGTGTTCTAGTTTAAGAAGGGAAAAATAAACCAAATGTGTTATTTGAAATTCAAAAGAATTATATGTATCACCAAACTATCTTAAGCTTCCTCAGAGTACAAATATAATACATTCCATAATAAAATACTGTTTAAAAATTCTGAGTAAATGGCCATTCCAAAAAAAAGTGCCACAGATCATATATTAATTTCTGAACAGCATTACTAACTAGTAGATTCAGCCAGATCCAAAGGTTTCCGTTTATTCAGTGTGGTGCACAGTTTTGTAAAGTTCCCTATTGGTAAAATGTCAGAGCTGTTACTATTCATGAATTAAATTACAACTTTGTATCAAACAAAACTGAGCAAAACTAACCACTTGGTTCTTAAAGATACCTTCAAAACACCTTGACTCCCTCGTTGAGCCATATTTTTATGATCGCTTATATGTAACCCTGATGTTAGTCATACTGATGTCCTTAACAACTATATAATGGTCTCAGCTGGTCTCTCAGCATCATTTCTGGGCCATGTCTCCATAAGATAGGCAGGGTGATCTTCTCAAAATGCAACTCTAACCATGTTATTCCCCTCCTCAAATGTCTGCTATGGCCATAACCACAGCACTGTAGGCTTTAGCCCTGTCTTTTTCTGATTCCACCTCAAGGCACTCTGCCTAGCTCTCCAATACAACCATATTCCCTTCATGCACAGAGCCTTTGCATGAGATAGCCCTTCTTCATGAACTGCTTTCTCTCTTCTCCCTCTCTCACTACACTCTTCATCTATTTCACTGTTCCTTTAGGGCCAAGCTCACAGTATATTGCCTCAGAGAAATTTTCCCTGCCACCTCATGTTCCATCAACCTTACCCTGTTGCATACTGTGCTTTGCTAGCACCTATGACAGTTTCATTAATGACAGTCTCCTCCACAAGACTATAGAGCTCGGTGAGGCCAGGGCACGTGCACCATGCCTGTCACTGTATTGTCTATATCTAGCTCAACACCTGGCATTTAACAGTCCTTCAATTTGTTTGGTTGAATAAATGAAGAAAACCCTAAATAAAATGACATTTGTGCAAAAGCTTTCATTTCATCAATGTTCACTCTAAAATTTATATAATTTTAATTTGGGAACTTAGAACATTTCTACATTTTTTAAAATCTGAAATTAATTGCAAATAAAAGTGTTGCTTAAGGAAAAATTGTGAAAAGAATTTGTAATGGGCAAAAGATTACTGAGTATTCTTCCAATGGAATGCTGAGTTGTATTTTTTTCCAGTGACAATTTTTTTTATATTTAAAAACAAAATCAACTTTGCCCCCAAATAGCCCTCAAATAAAAAAAAACAGATTAAATAAAATTTACAGTGAATATACCCAGCAAACATCTATTTGTGCAATTAAACACTGTCTATTACTGTGGCACAGATATTAAACAAACAATATACAAGTGTTCTTGGAGGTGAGGGGAGTTCCCAGTGTTAACTCTGTGGGGTTTGGGAAGGCAAGATGAGGAAGTGAGAGAATGTGGAAATCAATTTTGTTTATCATAATTCTGTCCATATTTCTGTCCATATAAATACATTCATAAAGACAAAAAAGGGCCAGGAGTGGTGGCTCATGCCTGTAATCCCAGCACTTTGGGAGGCTGGGGCGGGTGGATCACCTGAGGTCAGGAGTTTGAGTCCAGCCTGAGCAATATGGTGAAACTCCATCTCTACCAAAAAATACAAAAAATTAGTCAGGGTTGGTGACATGCACCTGTGGTCCCAGCTACTCAGGAGGCTGAGGCAGGAGGATCACCTGAGCCTGGGAGGCAAAGGTCACAGTGAGCCGATATCAGGCAACTGCACTCCAGGATGTGTGACAATGAGACTCCATCTCAAAAAAAAAAAAAAAAAAAGGAAAGGGAGCTTGAGATGTTTAAAATAAAAATTGGAGAATACTTATTCCTGAACAAAAAATAGAAGAGAAAATAGATTAAAATGATACAAGTGGATGGGAAGAAGAAGGAAGCAGAGGGGCCAACCAGGGGAAAAAAGGGGACCCAAAGAAGGAGAGCCTGAAGGAATCCAATGCCAGTGTGGATGTCCCTCTGTTTCGGTCTTCATCACTACTGTCTTAGGCTCCAGTTTAGCGTCAGTCTCCTTACTTTCTGTCTCCATCCACAGTCTATCAGGATCCTTCAACACCCTCTATCCTGCCCCCGCCCCTTCTGGGCTGCTCCCTTCCTCTTCTCCATTTAGTGGGTGCTGGCTCACTCCGGGATCCTCAGGTCATAGTTCTTTTTGGCCATTCAAAGTGTGAAGCTATTCAGGGAGTTGTTGAGATGAAGGGAGGCATTTTGAGCAGCCAGCAGGTTAGGGAACACAGCCATGATGGTGTAAAAGGCAGCAAGGTCCAAGCAGTTGCCATTCTCAGCAGTCCCACCATTGTCCCCTCCACCCCCACCAGGCAGCCCCTGAGCTGGGTCTTGGCACTGGACATGGCAAGCTGCTTAAAGAGTTTGTCTGCCTCGGTACAGGTGATGCCCTTAGGGAGATCTGTTACCTCCGGCCCCTGCCCCAAAACAACATCTGCTGTCCCCATGTCAGAGAAGGCAGATTTGAGTGCTTGTCTCTTGCCCTGGTTTTCATGCTTCAGTCCACTCTGTCCCTGGTGTACTGTGTAAGTTGACTGGTCATGCAGCAAGGGAGGGCAGATGGACAGATTATACTCTAAAGGCTGGCCTAAGAGGGAGTAGCACCCATCACCCTGTGCTGGACCCCCAGGCCAGGGGAACCATCTGAGGACAAGCAAGGGACTGAGTCCTGTGCAGACAGCCACCACTGAGGCTGGTGACAAGAGAAGGTGGCAAAGCCTGGGTAGGAGATGTGTCAGGGCTGCTGCTCATTTGTATGTTGGCCTGGGGGCTGATGTCAGGACTGTACAGGTCTCCAGGCTTCTGCCCCTCATGGTCCATGTTGTAGTATTTACAGTGACTCCACTGGACCCTTGATGGGTTCTGAGTGGGGTCAGGCTCCATTAGCGAAATTCAGCTCATGACCACCACACCTGGTCCAGAAGGTGACACTCTTGACTGCTACTGCAGCATCTGTGGTAGACGGCAGGGAGAGGGAAACTGAATCATCTGGTACTGCTGAGACCCAGGAGGTTGCAAAACCCCAACAGTAGGGCTTGTACCGTTCTGCTGAGCCAGTGGGATCATGCTGTAGTACACTGGTATGCCCCCTGTTGGGGGGCCTCCTTACCCAAACTGGCTCACAGGGGCCAGCATGAGTTGCTAGAAAGGGTGCTGGACCACATTTTGTGAGTAATTACCCACTGAGACTTGGTAAGAAGGCAGTGAAGTGTACTGAACCACCAGGCCTTGCATCTGGGCCTCCATGCTGCTTCTCTGACTGCTGAGCAGGCCCTGGTTCTGTGGCTGCTGGACCCCAGTCATTCCTTGGTAAGCCACCTGCTGCTGGTTAGGCATCATGGGCTATAAACTGGGCTGCTGGGATGGCCGAGCCAGCTATTGACCACATCAGGATCTGTAGGCCACCAGGTGAGAGAAAGGTCAATATTGCTGGTTGGAATTAGGATATTGTCCAGGGGGATTAGAAAGAAACCTGGAACTGTTGGTTGAGAAGGCTGCATGTAGCCCCGGGGTAGCAGCACTTGCTGAGTAGGTGGTGCATGGCTAGAGGTGGAACAGTTAGAGGTGGGGAGGGACTGACCCATGGAAGCCATGACGAAGTTAGTCCACTGACGGTGCTGGGAGATGAGTGGGGGCTGGAACAGAGCTGCCGATCAGTCAGTTGCTTTAGTAGAACCTTGGCAGCTAGGGCTCATTTGTCTAAAGGACTTGCTGAGGTCATCTGTCTGTGAGATCATGTGATTATTCAAGGGTGGCTGTTGCTGAGGCGTGGGTGGGAGAGCACAAAGTTGCTGCTGCTGCTGCTCCTGCTGCTGCTGCTGCTGCTGCTGCTGCTGCTGCTGAACAAGGGAGAAGGTTCGGGATAGACTGGGATGAGGTGACCTGGTTGCACATTTCTGGGGCATATAGTGCCATACCTGGCCTGGAGATCCTTCCTGCATTGGCACATTTACTGCTGCCAATGCAGTCACCTTGGGTGAAGACAGAGATTCTGCTGAACCTGCTGGCTTTGGTTACAGAGGGTCGCATGTTCTGGACAGAGCCACCAGCGTTCGTGCTGCTCCAAGGCCATGGCTCCAAGGGATTTGAGTTCACTGTTCTGTTCTGGCAGCTGCTTGAGGTGCAGCTGAACCTTCTGCAATTCCTCCTGATGTCATTTATATATCCTTTCTGGCCAGTCTCTTGGGGGGCAAATATTCTCTCAGACCCTTGGATATTTGTCCCCTTTCTCTTCTATTGACTTGCTTCTCCTTCCTAAAGCACCACTTTTATTTGTAATTAATTTCAGATTTTAAAAAATGTAGAAACATTCTAAGTTCCCATATTAAAACTGTATAAATTTTAGAGTAAGGATTAATGAAATGAAAACTTCGTACAATGTCATTCCATTTAGGGTTTTCTTCATTCATTCAAAGAAACATATTAAAGGACTGTTATATGCCAGGTGCTGAGCTAGATATAGACAATACAGTGATGGGCACAGTACACATGGCCCTGGTCTTACAGAGCTCTGTGGTCTTGTGGGGGAGACAGTCATTAATGTTGACAGTTTCATCTATGAAATGGGCAAGTATTGTTGAAATTTAAGGAACATATTCACATGGACAGCTGAGTAGTTAAAAATTAATTCAATCTTTTAAAGCCACAGTATGGGATATACCTTGATTTTTTTATATGTCATTTCTTTGATCAGGATCTTCCACCCTAGAGACATAAAAATATGCTAATTTCTCCAGTGATTATAACAGGATTAATACTGGTAATCATTTGTTGATCCTACAGGGAAATGATAATAGTACATCTATACTAAAGAATGCTACACATCAATAAAAAATAATACAGCAAATCAATAGATGAGGACATTGAAAGACTACCAAGATATTTTACTAAGTACAAAAATGTTTTGAGATAATATATATAGTATATGATATGACATCACTCATTTTAAAACTCCACAAAAGAGAAGTATACATTGATACATACATACATGCATATATATATATATGTGTGTGTGTATATATATATATATAATTAAATACATCTGCAAATACATAGAAAAATAGTCTGGAAGGTATTTACCAATTGATGATAGTTGCTATGTTTGAGAAAGAAACTCAGATTAGAGCATCAGACACTTAGTACTCAAGATAATCAAATCATTGGTTCTATTTGAGTTAAAAATATGACATTGAATTTAAGTACAACTTATACATTTATAATTTTTAAAAGAGAAAAAGAAAATAGACAAATTATACTGAAGAAGTAAACAAGTCTTGTAGTGACCACTTTTAGCACCAGCAAGTGAAGGCAACCATAGAAGAAGAAAAATGATTTTATCTCTGACATTTGAACCAATGAAAGGATTCTTGTGCCAGAAAAAAGAATGTGGTCGTGGTCTTCATTAAAGGAGAACTAAGAAGCTATTGCCTAGATACTCTCCCCTCATTCCACAAATGTGGGTAAGAATGCCATTGAAGGACTGAAATGCAGAGCTGCTCTCCCCAAGTCTCCATGGAGCTCTGAGCTCTAAGAGGTAATTTTAGGACCACCTCTGAGGAGTGGCATCTAATGTCACCTAGCATCTAACTTAGATAGTCACGAAATCTAGACCAGAGTCCATGAATGAAAACTGTACATTTCCTAAATTTTAGGAACTTTCTTAAGGTTGTCATTTTTATTTTGTCTTACCTGTTTACTTGTGCTTATTCTTAGGAAGAGAAATAAACCAGGAAATTGGGGAAACCAGTCAATATTAAAGGAGAAAAATTTGCCAAGATATTAAATTAGTTATGGTAGTTTTATAAAGCAAACGCAAGCAAGATATTCAGGGTTCATTGGTGTGGAGGCAGAATGATAGTTCCCCAAAGAGGTCTCCATCCTAATCCCTTGAAACTGAAAATATATTACTTTATATAGGAATGGGAATTTTGCAGATGTAAAAAATCATCCTGGATTACACGGGTGAGAGTGATGTAATCACAAGGGTCTTTTTAATGTGTCAGAGAGAACCAGAGAGAGAAAGAAGATTTAAAGATGTTATAATCCTGGCTTTGCAAATGGAGGAAGGAGCCACGGGCCAAGACAACACACAACCCCACCAACACCTTGATTTTAGCCCTGTGAGACATTTTATATTTCTGACACGAAAAACCATAAGACAAAGAACTGTGCTGTTTTAAGCCACTAAGTTTGTAGGGATCCTGATTTTGTTCCTATACTTTAGGTACTAATGGGCCTTAGAAAAATTTCTTGTCATACTACTTTATATATTACAGATGAGAAAATTGAGAGCTAAAGAAGTGAGGTGATTTGGCACTCAGCTATTAATGAAAGAATTAGGACTAAGATGTTCTGACATCTCCAGATGATATGGAAGATGGAAAAAGGAAGAGAAAGTGTTGCTCACCTTCATTTTCCCTAAATTTTTGTGATTGGCAAATATAAAAATTGAGTAATATCAGGTACATGCTAAGGTTAACCCACACTGTATGCACAGCAAATGCAACATATTAGTAAAATCTGGGGACTGCTCAATGCAGAGTTAAATTTTCAAGAGAAGATGTATGTAGAGCTAGATTTTAAAGTAAATTAGAGATATTCATTTTCTGGTTTTCTCTAAATTTCTCTGTAGTAACTTTAAAAAGGTGCAGTAGTGAAAGATAAAGGCACAAAGATGGGATCCTTCACATATTAATGGATAACTAACCAAAGACTAATAAAAATTCAATGATCATGCTGATTAGATTATTCTGGATTGTTTATCACCCTGCAGGCAGTGCCCACACCCAGCTTCTATTACAAATTATGCAATTAAATGTAGCTTTGGAAGTTGTATTTGCATCTCTCACAGAATGTCTAATTTGTTCCAATAGTACAGAAGGATAATGTCTTGAAAGTTCCAAGGATCAAAATAATCATCTGAGGTCTTTTAAATAAACTTTTTTTTGTATTGATAACTAACACACACAAACAAAGCACAAGATAATAAAAAAATCTTTCTATGAGTTTAGTAAAATTCAAGAATTATGAATTACAAGGCTTTTGAAATGATAAGTTTATAACATGAACTTGCTTGGGGATGCTCTAAGCCAATACATTGTGGTACTTTTATTTCTGCCACTAAATCTTTACAATTAGACAATATGGAAAAATATGTATTATGCCAAACAGGTATATAAAAATAAAAGTACTGAGAGGCTATGATGATTTGGATCCTTTTTATGTATGCTGGGATATCTTGAAATTAATGTTTCTTAATCTATAAGTGGAGAGCTCCCAGCTGGTGTGTTTCCCATCTAATTGAAATGCATAAGGATGAGTCAACACAACCTTATTTGTAATTAAATTTTGGATTTAGGTTAAATCTACTTGCATCATAAAAGCTTGTGGACAAATCTCTTCTTAGCAATAATGCAAATAGAAATATTCACATTTTATGAAATGCTAATTTTTGGACACTGGCAACAAATAATAATATACACAAAAAATAGTTAGACTGTTAGAATGAAAAAACATTCATCCAAACTGACATGTACTTTGAGATGAGTTAGTTTTGCAATTTCTCATCCTAAAACATTATTTGTGTCATCTAATATAATTCAAAATCCTTCACTAGCCTGTAAGACTGGAAATAAATTCACATGCTTATTACTTCTTAGGCATTTTTTTGATTAATAGTATCTCTTCTAATGTAGATCTACAGACTAACTTAAACATAATGTGGATATTTACAATAAGTAGAGAAAAAAGAAAAGAAATATATCATTTAGTGAAATCCAATACTTTGGGAGATTTTTTAAGAAGCTGAAATTAAAGTATAAAGCTTTTTCACGGTTGTACATAGGCCTTGATCCCAAGCCCCACACTGAGGAGGGTCATTGTGAAGGTTTGGCTTTGAGTTTTAATATCTACTGTAAAAGGACCACCCAGGGAAAACAAACTATCCTGAGAGGACTTTTAATAACACTGTTCAGCTATAATATTTTGTAAAAGCTCCCAGCATCTTTTATACAGCCTCTCTAAGGGGATCACAGATTTTAAATAGAAACAGGAAGAAATGCACAATTTTCCATTCACCTTGTTTTTTAAAGCCCTTAAAGAGTTAAAATAAGTTTTTATATCTGGCTTCCTTTTTAAAAAATATCTTAACTAGTAAATTATGATCAATAATAACAGAATATTGTAAACTATATGCAGGTTTGCTTCTTCCTAATGAGGGGCAGACCAGGTAACAGTCCAGGCATAGCAGTGCAGCCTTGGTCTGGTGGCTTCACAGTGTCGAGATCCTTCTATCTTACTACTCCATCATCCCCAGACTTCTGCCTACCACACTGCACCCCCAACATGGCCTCAAAAATTGCTCCCTACCCTATCTGTGCTGCTAATCATTAAGGAAATGACCCAGGCGTCATTAAGCATCAATTCTTTTAATATGCCAAGGGTTGGGCTTAGTGACAAGGCCATACATAAACATCTCGTAAACTGGGAAATGAAGTCTTTACTCTGGTTGTCTTTTAATCCACCTAAGTTATCAGGATGCAATTAGTTTAGAGGAGAGAAAATAGATATTAGGAAAAAATAGATCTTTGCCACATCATCCTAGTAAAATTTTGAATAAATCAATATAATTAAAAATTATAGTTGGGGTTAATTTCCTTAGGAGATGATAACTTTTACAAGTGGTTTCAAATAAAACAATAAAACATTTTTTAAAGTGTTGATATGTACATATATATGTAGATGTATATACAGTAGCCATGTATATGTATATATATAAATTATATATATATTTGCATCAGAATTATGATCTACACTTGTTTTATTCAAAGAAATTTTTATATATAAAGCCTTATGTTGCCATAATTCCTGGAAGATTAAACAAAAAACTCTTAATGACCTTTGCCTCTGCAGAATAGTTTAGAGAAAATTAGCATTGTATGCCCATTTTCTTCCATTTGAATTTCTTATGTGTACATATTGTTTTTAATTTGAAATAATTGTTCTAAAATTAAAATGCCAAATAAAAATGGCACTTTTACTTTCTGAGTCCTTAAAGGGGTCCTTAAAGGACTTTCAAAAACATTGAAAATGGTGACTGTAGGTAAAGAGTAAGGAAAAGGAAAATCCAGCAATTTTGATAAAAAAGATGTTTTATGCTAACTATCTCTAGTAATGGCCACTAACCTTTGGTTTCCATGTGTGTGTGTGTTTTGTTTTGTTTTTTATTCATCCTGAATTCGTTTTAAAATTTCATTCTTATCCTTTTTGTTTCCCAAATTGAAATACAGATTTTCATAAACATCTCAAGTTTGGATATTAAAATATATCTATATATATTTTATGCTCGTAAATAATTTTCCTTGCCATTCAAATATTTTATTTTTAAAAATCATACACTGAGTTTCATATGTATATTTTTGTTTTCCCATCATTTCCAAGTGTGACCACTGCTTCGACTATGTCCTCCCTAATTTCATTCATACTTAAAACCAAGAAAAGGGTAGAGTTCCATCCTTAACAACTAAACAGGCACTTTGGACAATATATTTTTGGCAATGCAACATGGGCAATATTTATCCAACATGGCAGGGAAAGTTCCCACTCTGTATTATAAAAAGGAAAGCCAAATATCAACTGTTACAAAAATAAAATAAGATGGAAGATTTTAACAAACTTTAAACTATTTTCTTTCTTTTCTTTTCTTTTTCTTTTTTTTTTTTTTTTTTGAGACGGAGTCTCACTCTGTCGCCCAGGCTGGAGTGCAAGTGGCGCGATCTTGGCTCACTGCAAGCTCTACCTCCCAGGTTCATGTCATTCTCCTGCCTCAGCCTCCCGAGTAGCTGGGACTACAGGTGCCCGCCACCACACCCGGCTAATTTTTTTGTATTTTTAGTAGAGATGGGGTTTCACCATGTTAGCCACGATGGTCTCGATCTCCTGACTTCGTGATCCGCCTGCCTCAGCCTCTCAAAGTGCTGGGATTACAGGCGTGAGCCACCGCGCCCAGCCTAAACTATTTTCTTAAAGAGATTTCCTTATTCAGAGATCTTGAATAGCCTCCTGATCAGTCATACAGAAGCAATTCTTTATACAATTTATGAATATGGTTTTCATTTTGGGAAGAGAACTACTTTTTCTATTATTGCTAACATTTTTGCTTTAAGGTCTTCTATAGGACTAGGTCTTTTTGGTATTGTAAGAATATTTTCCTCTTTTTTTTTGGAAGGATTCTTTACCTTTTGATCTTGGTTTTAATGATTTTATGTCTTTTTCATTCTGGTTTGATTTTTGTGCATTTTTGGCTGGAGTACCTTACATAGATTTCTTCACTGGAGTTTTCTTCAGTTTCCTTATCATCAAAATTATTGTCATCATCTTCTTCTTCATCAGCAGTATGTTGTACTTTTCTCTGTGGAAACTTGCTACCACTCCCAGGGGCAGATCACTTTTCAGATATACTTTATAGTTTCACATCCGCCTCCTCTTCATCTTCTGACTCCGCATCTTCCTCCACAGCCTAAAAGTGCTGTCTACTAATATGCACAAGGTCTGAACTACACTGCAATTCTAAGACCATGGATAGTACTATTTAAAATCTCTCAGGGAAACAGTTGGCTGTACAGACATTTTTTTTTAACATTGCCAGTGTTGCTTTAATTGAGCTGCCTTCATAATTCATTATCCCTGTTTCAATAACATTAAATTCATTCCTTGTACCGGTCCCTAAACTGACCATTCTTTTTTTTTTTTTTTTTTTGAGACGGAGTCTCCCTCGCTCTGTCGCCCAGGCTGCAGCGCAGTGGCATGATCTGGGCTCACTGCAAGCTCCGCCTCCCGGGTTCACGCCATTCTCTTGCCTCAGCCTCCTGAGTAGCTGGGACTGCAGGCGCCCGCCACCACGCCCGGCTATTTTTTTTTGTATTTTTAGTGGAGACTGGGTTCACCATGTTAGCCAGGATGGTCTCAATCTCCTGACCTCATGATCCACCCGCCTTGGCCTGCCAAAGTGCTGGGACTACAGGCACCTGCCACCGCGCCCGGCTAATTTTTTGCATTTTAAGTAGAGACGGGGTTTCACTGTGTTAGCCAAGATGTAAACTGACCATTCTTAGAGATAACTGGTGTTCATTTTCATCATTATTCATGTTAAAGTGATAGTCTGTCAGTCTTTAGTTCACCACCAAAAAGACAGTTCTGGGTGCTCAGGGGATCATGTACATGTCCATTGAATCTTCCATGAACTGGTAGCATGCATTTAGGTGGGAGATAAGGCAGGGGAAGGTAAATGACCACTGCCCCAGAGAATAGCCACATAGGATGGAATCACACCAGGGTTAGATACTTTAAATTGTTTCTTTTAACTTTCAGAAAAAACAATCCTCTGGTTAAGGAAAAACAAAGTATATTCATTCAAAGACTAATTTCTTAGGAAGTTGTAAGTATATGAAAGCAAGGGTGTGTGCCCAGGAACTTTATCAACTATAAAAAGGAAGGATTATCACCTCCTACGATGCCTTCATATTACTTGTTCTAACAACGAGATTTGCCATTAGTGCAACTTGCTACAAAGTAGGCTTTAGTGAAACTTTTAAAGCAGACGGTTAGGTGTGATTAGGGTGTGCTATTAGACACCACAAAATATAGGAAAAAAAATACTTTTAACAGGGATTGTCTGTCAATGCCTGAAATTTACTTTCCTAACTTCACATTACTTTCTCATATATTATAAATTGTCCAATCCACAGTAAAAGCTTCAAGCAGGGAACCTTTTTAAAAATAAAGAGTGAGCCATTATCTGAATGTCCCTGAAACAGAAGAAGTAATCTTGATGATGGTGTGCATGTGATATAGAAAAGACATGTATATAGTAATTAATTCTAAAAATATCATGCAGCGGAAAGTCTACTGGACAGGAATATAACCTTGATGGCATTTCTGATTTAC
This sequence comes from Homo sapiens, assembly GCF_000001405.40. Classification (NCBI taxonomy): domain Eukaryota; kingdom Metazoa; phylum Chordata; class Mammalia; order Primates; family Hominidae; genus Homo; species Homo sapiens. Next base: position 104,027,470 of record NC_000006.12, read on the forward strand.
TGCATGAGTCAGAAGCAGCCTCAGTTTCCTCCCTTGCAAAATGAAGGACCTAAGTGGAAACCCAGTGGAGAATACTTCTGACCATTGTGTCAGAGAACCTGACCCTGAGTCACTGGACTGCCATTTCTCTACTTTGTGTGGTAACTAGTTGTAAATCCACAGCGCAAGGAGATAGTGAATATAACTTTCCTCAGCCTTGCCTATTCTAAACTGGGAAACACCATGCTATCTCTTTCAAAGAAGATTTGGGTCTGCTAATTGGAACATGAATCATTGTTCACTAAATTTCACATTTGTATCCTTTGAAAGTAGAGCCATTTCATTCCTTCTTGTGGGTTTAGATCCCTTTGCAATCCATACATATGATGTACTTAATAGTTAAATGGTCCTTGCATTTCCCACTCTTAGCTGGCTGCTAAAACAGATGTTCAAAGTGTAAGCTATTTTAATCCAGTCTAGCATATTTGAGGCCCCAAATCATCAGCAGCCAGAATCTGGAATTCCTTTGCTACTTCCAGTCCTGAGTGGGTCTAGTCAAGCTGAACACACCTGTAAAATGAGTGATATCTCATCTACTCCCCTCGTTTTACCTGTACTAACTTAATAAAATTATACTCTTGTCCCATTTCCCTAACCCCACCTACTTTCATTGGGACCAGGAAAATCACCCCAAACCTTTTCAATCCCATATCCTAAGGAGTTAACCTTATAGTGGCATCTCTAACCACTGCTTGGTGTTTCACTTCAATCCGGATATCAACCTCTGCATAAACCAAACTTAGTATCAGAATAAAACAATTGCCCAGGGCATTCTGCTGCCCACACACTATTCCCCCTTGCTTAAGCCAACAGCCTAAATGGGCCTAAGTGCACTAGGTCTCCTCAGACATTTTAATTGGGCTTTCTAGTCACTGTCCTTGGGGACCACCACTAAACTTAGTGGTCTAAACTGAGCTTAAAACATTTCTACCGTCCCCTGGGTTTATGGGTGAAGATCCAAGATGTTTTACACCTAAATCCTTGTGAATTATGACAATTATATCTGCATTGATACCCTCTTTCCTACTTACTGAATTCCTGCCACCTTCTCCTAAAACTAGATGTTGACCTTATACTTGGAAAAGCTTTTTCTCCATGTACATTTTTTAATGTCTTTATGGTATGCCCAGGTAAAATAGGGAACAAAAACTAATTTATTCTGAAAGCTTTCAATGTTCTAAATAATTTTAGATATTCCTTCTCTTACTTAAACTCCTATTTAAATGATTTAACGTTGATATGGTATAGATAACAAGGCTTGTGTGTATTTGTCAGGAACACTTACATTTAGAATTCCAAAAGCTATTTTTGAATTTTCAAATTTTCTTGGTAATTCAACATCTCTAAAGAATAATGAAAACTGAACTATGTTTGAATGATTCATAACACACATTCCATAAAAATGATATAAAAAATATTTCATAGAATTGCATTATCTATATATTGTTACTTTAAAAACAACAAATTTTCCACATTGGCCAATGTATTTATCTTTAGTAAATATTTATGTGTACATACGACATGTATAATATATATTAATGTATTCTTCGATACTAGTATTGTTATCATATTTTCTTTTGTAATACTTATTAATAGTTTAATAATCAGATTGAAATCATTGGAAATGTAGTTCTGACTAAATAGTTTAATGCAGTTTGACTAAATGTAGTTTAATGACTAAATAGTTGCCTCACTAATCTAACATTGCCGTTTCCAAAATTAATCCCCTCACTTCTATGCCAACCACTTTCTCTATACATAATGTAGGAAATGCTTAATCAAAATAGTGAATAACTTCATAAAGCTAAAATATAATTAAGAATATACAAAATTAAAATCTAGTTTTCAATCTATATGAAGCATATCATTAAATATTCAATGTCTTCCATTTTCATACAAATTAGGAATACTGTCGTTTATATTAGAAGACTAAAGCCCAGGTTTCTGAAGTTAGAATGAAGAAATGTTGCCTTGAACCCAGAAAATTATAACTGGATAGAACCTACATTTTACTTAGCTATGGCTTATTGGCTTATATTTTTAAATTCCTTCGTAACAACTTCTTTCTGTGATCTATCACAATTTTAGAACCTTTTGAGCTTGATGTCTTAGCAAAGGTTTAAACTCTGTCAATCATTCAACAGTCAGATTGGCCATGCTTGAAAAAGGTTTAATAGAAAAGAAGTCATAAATCAAGAGAAAAAAAACTCAAGGAAGATACCCTTAAGGAATTACCTTATAGAAAGATAAATTATCCTAGCCACGAAAGGGGAGTTTGGGCTTTGTTTTCTGTTACTGTGTGTGTGTATTTTTTTTGTTGTTTGGTTTTGTTTTTAATAACTAAAGCTATATTTCTGTTGCTTTTCCTTTTCCAATATAACTAAAATACATTAAAATCCTACCAGATTATTTAAAATGAAATATTTCTACAAATAGATCTTAGTGACAGGAATTTCAATTTTTTTGAAATAACATTTCTAGAGCATAGAGGAATACCTGCCTTGTCCTTGCAGCCACCCTGAAATTAGGTAACAAATAGGTCAGTCCTCACCACTCATCTAACTGATTGGAGAACTGAAAATTTCCCTTCTGCCTCAATTCCAGCCCTGCTTTTTTTAATGCGTATCTTCAAAGCTCTTTCTAAATCTCAGAGTAAAGGGACTAGTCAAAACCTAATAAAAATTCAGCAGATCATTATAACGATTGCATTATTTTGGACTGGTATTCATGCTGCAATCAAATTTCCCAAGCCTGTGTGATTTTCTGCACAGTAGTTTCAGATAGAGTCTTTTGTAGATATCTATATGATTTTGTTTCTTTTTGCTGGGCAGACAACATAAGAATTCCTACAATAATAAAACAAGGTTCATCATATTTTCTAAGAGAGTATATGATGAGATGTTATAGCAATCAAGCAACAAAACATTGAATGCCTCCTGAGTTCCAGGCTGTGTACTGGGCACTGGATATATAGCCTATATTGCATCTTAATCAAACTTCAACAACATTTAATGTAGTTGATCGACTCTCAGAAATCCTTCCTCCTGGGTTTTTTGACACTATGCATTCTTAATTTTTCTCCTACCCCTTCGTATACTTCTAATCAGTCATTGTTGCTAAGCCCTCTCCCTGTGCCAGATTTCTGAATGCTGGAATTTCCTATGACTTCCTCAGTTGAAGGATTCTCTTCTCTCTCTCCCAGGTGATCCCATTCATTCTCCTGGCCTTAAATACCATCAATATAGTAATAATCCATGTATATGCTTTTCAGCTTTTTTTTGAAAGTTGAAGAGTAAGACTCAAATTATTGCTGATCAGAATTACTTTGAGAATCTTTTGAAAAGTCACCTTCTTAGAGAACAACCTACCACCTTTTATTACTCCAGCACTGACAGAGGTTGCTGTTTCTTTGATAACCAAGTAAAATATCTGGCTTGTATTTCAGATCTATGTTATAACAAAGACAAGCTGACTCGTTACGGTAAAGTCTAGCAAGATGAGAAACTTGCCACTATGAGAGGACAGTAGAGACGGAGGCTATTGAAGAACCATTGGAACCAGCTCAATGGGCCTGCACTTATCTGGCATATATTCTCAGTAAGGTAAAGGGGGAGAATTCTTCAAACTATTTAAACCAGTGTTTTGTGTGTGTGTGTGTGTGTGTGTGTGTGTGTGTGTGTGTTGTAATCTAACTATGATTTATTTTTAACCTAGGCCTTCTTTCAAATTCCCAGACGTTTCAATATCTCCACCTGAACATTTCACAGCCATTTGAAACATAACATTCAAATCAGAATTCTGATTTTCCCACTTGAAACCATTTCTTCCTGTAGTCTTTTCCATCTCAGCAACCTTTCACTAGTTGCTTAGAGCCATAAACTTAATCATAATGCTTAATTCTTTTTTGTTTGATATCAAACTTACTAAAACCATTTACAAGTGTCATGACTGGTATCTTTAAATTACATCCAGAATCTGTTCACACTTTTCCATCTGCACTTCTATCACACCCAATCCACTTTCATCACTCTCATTTTGCCAGGATACTTAATCTTCCAGCTTCTACTTTAATCCCCATCTCTAGTTTCACACCCTTATCCTCACCCAACACACAGACGCATGGATTCATTATTCAAATAACAGAGAGAGTAATCTTTTGAATACATGAATCTGATTAGGTAAACACACAGTGCTGCTTTAGAGCCTTTAATAATTTCCTTTTTTATTTCAAATAAAATCCAAACTCTTGATCTTGAGGTGCCCCTGACACCATTCTAATCCCATCCCTTGTCTCACTTCTGACTTTCTTTGTTCCTCTTAGTTTCAGGACTACTCCAAGTTCTTTACTATTTTGTAGCTGTTCCCTCTGTCTGGATAAATCTGTTTCTGGCATTCCATGAACTTAGTTCCTTCTCATTCGTTAGGTGTAAACTTCATTGCTATTTCCAAAAAGAGTCTCCACCCACTGCCCTGATATTCTTTCGCAAAGCACTCTATTTTCTTTAACGCACCAACACCGGTTTGTAAACAGTTTTATTGAAGTATAACTGGCAAACAATAACACATATTTAAATAGTAAGTTTTGACCTATGTATACTTCCATGAGGCCATCACCAAACATAAGAGAGTGAACATATTCATCTTTCTAAAATTTCCCTCATATCCTTTGTAACAATCTCTCTGCCCACACCTCCTCTCTTTCAACCATCCCCATCCCCAGGAAACTACTCATCTATTTTTCATCACTGTAGATTAATTCATGCTTTCCAGAATTTAATGTAAATGGAATCTAATCCAAACACTTTAAACTGGAATTCCAAATGTGTGTAAAACAAATATTTTCTCTATCCTTAAGATGCTGAAAAGGAAAACACGCACACACACAAACAGAATTATAATTAAGGTGAAAATGTAGCTGCGTAAGACAGCTATAAACACTTGTGTAGGGGAGGCAAAGACCATATTTTGTTGCTAGAATCAAGAAAAGGTTTGTGAAGGCGGTAACATTCTGAACTCCACCTTGAACAAGATTTCATTCTTGATAGGTGGAGTTGGAAAGAGGTAGATAGGCTAGCAAAGGAGCTAGCATGCTGGTTAGAAATAATACCAGGCAAAGGAACAATATGACCAATGGAATGAAAGAGAAAAAATGTAAAGTTTTTGTGGGGGGCACTTAGTGATCTGTTTTGAATAGAAGTTTCTGAGAGTATAAGGGAAATTATGCAGGTGTATAAGGGCTGGTGCTCAGAGGGCCTTTTAAGAGAGGTGAAAGAATTGGCCTTAATGCAGTAGGCACAAAAGCTTTGGAATCCAGTTCCATTGAGATTTTGTGTCAATTATCCAAGAAGTCAACACTCTCACAAATATTCTTTTTAACACTCATTATGTGGAATCTTGGGAAACATGTTGACATATTAACTGAAACCCTGGAATAATCAATGATGAAGCTCAGCACTATGTCTTTTCAATTGCTCTCTTACCAAGGAATTGCAATCCAGCAGCCCAGGAATTTGTTATATTCCCCCAATCCCCAGATTTACACTATTTCTTCTTAGTGATACTAGCTCACTTTTATAAAATTAATAAGTGAAGATTATAATCTTTGGGAAACAAAAGAATTGTATGTACGGTATAGTTAAATACTTTAAAGTCTTCACTATATGTATAATACCATTTAACTTATGAAAATATGTATTTGTTTAATCCTTGAACAAGGAAGGGCTTTTGTTTAAGAAAAAAAATTAATGATTTAATCATAAAATAATTTAAAAAATCTATACTTGTATAAACAACATGGAAAAGAAAAAACAAGCTAGGAAAGATATCTGTAAAAGACAAATTGGCTTCTATGCAGTTTTGTTAATTGATGATAAATCCTAAGTGCTTGCTAAAAGTTTTGAATGGAAATATAATTAAATCTCTGGGTGAGAATCTACCTGTGAACTCCCTCAATGAGCAAAGAGCTTCTGCCTGTAAGCTCTGGAATATGTCTGATATGACATTTATAGGAAAGTCAAGGTGACTAAAACTGTGCTCATTCTGCTACCTTAAACTGAAATATGGAAAACACACTAAAGTACTGGAATCTACAAAATAAGTAGGTACATCTTCCTGTTCAACAATTGTAATAAAAATTGGGAAAAATATATTGTATTTTGATATTGAAACCTTTCTCTATTATGGTATATAGTGCAAAATTATCCTAAACTTAAAAAACTAAAAGCCGTGACCTTCAAATTTGAAAAACCAAAAGTATGATCATGCTTGGCTGATTCCTATTGTGGCTGTGGGATCTACAGCATTTGTATTATTGCATTTATTATTATTGCATTTATTGCATTTATATTGCATTTATTACCAATTCTCTTTCACTGCAATTTAAAAGACTGGAGAATATTCCAGTATATTTGAAAAATTAAATCCACAACGTCAATATTTTCATAAAATCTACAGCTACAAAAATATTTTTCTGTGTAATTAAGTGGCATGTAACTTTGATCGTAATCTACTTAAATGCCTAAGGGTTATTTTACTGTTGTCCCAAAAGAGTCAACGGATTTCTTAGCAAAATAATAGCAAAATTCTACTTTTCTGGTCAAATTTATCTTTGGGTAATTATAGTTTTTGACTGTACTAAATCTGAGCCACTATGCTTTCAGTCAGACTTGATGTTGCTCCTGGGTAATAGAATCATTCTGGTGTTGTGTTGTGCATTCTGTAGCAGATGCCACGTTTCGCCCTGGAGTATAATATAGTGGAAGGTGCAGCAGTTCTGACATATCTACTTAACAAACTTTGTGCAACCATTTGAAATAAAAGACACCATGCAAAGAATGTTTACTCAAATGAAATATATGCTGTATTAAAAAACACAATGATAGCATTCCCTTGTATATTTCTATATAATTATTTCTGTATAATCAGTTCTTTTTCAGTATCATCACCATTTTTCATTCATTCTTTGAAAAAATAATTATTAAACTCCTACTATCTACAGCACATTGGTATTAAATTGAAAACAAAATTTTACATAATTAACTTACAAAATTTGTAGTATAATAAGGAAAATAGACCTACTCAGGATCATTGTAAAACAAAATAGGATATGTAGTAAAGTAGGTAAGTTTATATTCTACCTTGAGGGACCATAAGCTTTTCAGTCAAATGCAAAAAGGATACTTCACTTTCAAACAAGGCAGTATTTCTTAACATTAATTGAGTTGTGTAAATTTCCTGGTTTCTCCCTGGAAATTTTATAGTTTTATTCTTAATTTTTGTATGTCTTATGATAAAGTAGGGATTTGAGTTAATATTTAAAACTTGCATGTTTCAAGTATTTACAATACTGAAGTAATTGTTTTTATGTGTTTAATGGTGTCCGCTTCAAAGTTCACATATTGAATCCTTAGTCCCCAGTGTCTCCGGATGTGACCTTAGTCATTTAAGATGTAACTAGCAGCGTTATTCACAATAGCCAAGATATGAAATGAACCTAAGTGTCTATCAACAGATAAATAAAGAAAATGTGATATGAATATGCAATGGAATATTACTCAGCATAAACAAGAAAGAAATACTACCATTTGTGAAGAAATGGATGGTCCTGGAGGATATGTTGCTAAGTGAAATAAGCCAGACAGAGAAAAGTGAATACTTCGTGATCTCACTTATATATCTAAAATCTAAAAAAGTTGAACTCATAGAAACATAGTAGAAGGGCGGTTACCAGGAGAGGAGAAGGAAGGGGAAGTGGGGAGATAAAATGGGGTTTGGTCAAATGTATACACTTGCAGTTATAAGATGAATAAGCTCTGGAGACTTAATATATAGCATGGTAACTATACTTAATAGTAATGTATTATATACTTGAAATTTTCTAAGAGCGTAAATCTTAAATATTCTTACCATCAAAAGAAGGAGGTAACTGTGTGAGGTGATGTTTATATTAATTATCTTGACTATAGTAATCATTTCACAATGTAGACATATATCAAAATATCACATTGCAAACCTCAAATATATACAATTTTTAGTTGTCAATTATACCTCAATAAAACTGTAAAAAAGAAAAACAAAACAAATTAGTTTATACTGGAGTAAATATGAATGGTGTTCTTATAAAAAGGGAGAACTTGGAAATAGACACACAGAGAGCATGACACATGAACATGAAGGCAGAGACTGGAGTGATGTGTCTATAAGCCAAGTAATGACAGAGATTACCAGGAAACCTTCAGAGGCTAGGAGATAAGCATGGAACAGATTGTCCTTTACAGCCCTCAGAATAAACCAACCCTGTTGATACCTTGATTTCATACTTTCAGGCTCCAGGACTGAGAGACAATAAATTTCCATTACACTACCAAATTTATTAAACTATTATGCTTCTTAAAATATTTATAATATGAGCATATAAGAAGACAAAATTTGGCAATTTTTTGGTACAAATGATTCAAAGAAACACTAGTTATATAACAAAGTATGTATTTGCTGATAAACATTGGATATTTTATCATGTTTTGTATTAGATATCAAAATACATATTAATTGCATATTAAAATTTAGGTTGAAATAGTTTTGTGTTTTGGCATCAAAAATGGCAAAAAAAAGTTACATTCTTGATGCTAATGTTTAGAATTCTTAGATTTTGTACTCAAGGGAGAAATAGATTATGAGTGCACTACAATAGAGAGATGAAAGGGATAAAGTAAAAAAACAATTTTTTAAATGAGTGCACTACCATATTTATCAATATGTACTCAGAGTCTATCAACCAAGTAATTTTAAAAAGAAATGTATTTAAATTATTTTATATATTTATTTTTAAATCATACAAACTAAAATAAATACTGTTTTTTAGTATTTGAAAACTATAAAGCACTATTAAGAGAAATTATAAGGACATACCATATTCATGGAAGACACAATTATTGTAAATGTATTTGTTCTTACCAAATTAATATATAGATTCAATGAGATTCTAATGAAATGAGGACAATTTACTAGGGAAAATGAAAGGCTGATTTAAAAACTTCTATGGAAATACAAATGGAATAAAGACAATGAAAAACTACACAGTTGAAGTACTCATAATACCAGATTTCCATATATATTATATCAAAGTAGTAAATATGAGTTTGTGGTATGTATACAGGGATGGATAAATAGACTGATGGAACTAATAGAGTTTATAGTCCAAGATCAATTTCTAATTTTTCCAGATAGCCATAAGACCCTTTCAATATAAAGATACAAGTGTTTTTTCCTGGAAAGTATTCTTATAGTGTTAAATGTTAATTAGGATACATTGCTTTGTTTATCCTTTTCAAAGACTCTATTTTTTGCTAGTCTTCTATTTCAGTTACTTTCTCTCTGGTTCCTTTTACATTTTGTGGCTAACTCCCATTTCCATTCTGTTGGTTATTTTCTGGCTTTTTTTCAATACCTCTTACTAAATATTTATTTCAATCTGTATTCACTTTGAGCATTTTGTAAGTTTGTCATTTCTCAAAAGCTTCTTGCCTTGTTATCTATGTCTTTCTCGAATTCTAACAACTCTCATTTTCTTTCTTTTCTTTTCTTTTTTTTTTTTTGTCCACTTCTATTCTTAGGCTTTTTATTTCAGACTAATGATTTTTCCATGTTTGTTTTTGTTTTGTTTTTGTTTTTTAACATATCCCCAAATGTGGTTTTGATATACTTGATTTAGTTCAGAGTGTTAGGGCAGAGATTTCTCCTTTTTTTCATATTTGATTTTAGAGAAGATTTTTTCATCAGGTAAAAAGTTGTAATTTTCTGTTTCCTTTTGATAGTGGCTTTGAATAGATAAATGTTGCTTGTGTCTATGCATTACATGAATGGGGTTAAAATTTGGGGGTTGATGGAAGGAATTCTAGTTTTGGGTCCCCTCTTACATGAGTGCAGTTAAATGCAGTTTCCTTAATAAATAGCTTTTGGGGGAGATTGCTAGGGGAAAACTTTGGATTCTTTTGTTTTTCAGAATCCTAAATTTTCTCCCCTTTTTCTTTTCCTTTTTCTCATTCAGTCTCTTAATGCCACCTCTGCCTTCATCCAGTCTCTTAACACCTCCTCAAGTTCCATGTTTTAAGTCCCTTTCTAATATTATTTTAAGCTATGGGATTTAATGCTTCAAATTTTCACTTTGGGGGTGGACTTTTCTTAATGGAGATGATTTTAGCTTTGTCTTTCTTTACTTTTTCTTTTTTTTTTTTTTTTCTATGCAAAGGCATCCAGCAAGATCTCAAGAGAGAGCTTGTTTGGAAATTGATGTTTACATTTATGGTTAAAAAAATTCTGTTTTCTAGTAATGATGGAGGCATGGAATTGTATGAACTTTTTTTCCGGTTGATTTGTAGGGTTTTTAGTAAGATGAGTGGAGACTTTCAAATTTGTGCAGTCACCATTACTTTAGCTACCAATGTTAATTTTTTTTTAATAATTCAGCCACATTCTTAACTGGAGAAGGTATTACTTAGAAGTTGATTTGGCTGCCAGCCAGACTAATAGCTTAAATTAGATAGGAGTTTATTTTTTGCCCTTGGAAAAACCTGAAGGTAGGCAGTAAAATGGTGACAACAAGGCTACTGAAGACTACTACTTGTTGTCACGATTGCGCCCAAGATTTGTCACCTTTATCTGCATATCTATCACTACTGTGTAGTTCCATCCTCAACACTGCCTCCATGTTACAAGATGCTGATGGTTCAGTCATTACTTTAATGTTTTGAATAGGAAGAGAAAAATGAAAGTAAAATGGGGGCATTGTCTCAGATGGCTTAGCCACCTTTTAGAGTACTCTCAAAAGTCTGCCCAATAACTCCTACTTATGTCTAATTAGCCACCACTGCCTACAGGAAAAAGGAAAAATGTATTATTTTAGTTAAGTGCTCTCCTAACACCATTAATGTTATCGTTCTCTTAATAAGGAAACAGGTAAATGATACCTGGTAGGTACTACAGGAAATAAAAGTCTTTGTTTAGATAATATGAGTGGCTTGGTTTTACTCTAGGCCTAATATATTTCTGTTTCTAGGCATACATTACCCTAAGTGATTATGTATTTCAAATGGATATTAGACAAGATATATTTGGTTCAGCTAACTCATTTTAAATCTGTACATGCATTAACCATATTTTACACTAATATATGTTAGTTCAACTTTATATAACCTAAAATTATTAAGTCAGCAAAATATGGAAAATTAAAAAAATCTTATAAATTTGAGCAACTATTTTAGCCAGAGAAGTCAAATCATTGTAAATTTTTCAGCTATGCATGCATTTGAATAATCTTTCATGTCAAATAACTATATTTTAAGCCTAATAGCTCTAATAATAGTTTTGTTATATATCTTTCCACTTGAATCATTCAATATTTTACCACTGACTAGAAATTTCTGGTTAGCAGTACAACTGTCATTCAGCTTTTAGTTTCAGAGTTCAAATTTTAATTACTTGATTAATACTGAACTTTTACTACCCTGAAGACCGCAAGGCAGCGAATGGCTAATTTAAACCTAAAGGGAAGTAAAGGGAAAAAGAGGTGAGGCAATAAATATAGAATAGAAAACGGGAGCAGAAGGCAGAAGGTGACAATTTCCATTCCAGACAACATTCCTAGGCACTGTTCTCTGAGCATGACACATTAGGGAAAAAGGGGGTTCCCCATTCTTTCCCCTTGGTGGTTGCAATCGTCATTTACCAGTAGTCAAATTACCTCTTCCCAGTTTATTTTTTGGATTCCCAAATCACTGAAGCCATCTTCCAAGCTTCCCGTACCCCTTTCTTACAAAAACACGTATTCATGCATTCATACAAAAGGAGTATAAAATTTTAGAGGGTTCACACATACTCTCTGGAACTCATCCAGAAGTCTCAAAGTTGGGAGCCTCTGACTTAAAAGTTGAGTTTGTCTACTAGATAAAAGGGAGGAGGGAGGAGATTATTTCAGGTGGATAAAGTAAATAAGCAATATGTTCAAGTTGCTTTAATTTTAAGTTGCTGTATTTGGGCACTGCCAATAGTTTTCTATTTATTTCCAAATAACAGGTTTTGTAGGAGAATTATGGGGATAAATGCATGGATAAAAGGTGTTGAAATACGATGAAATTATGCTGAATTTTGAACTGTATTTATGTATTTATTTTAACAATGGATAGAAATGCTTTTGAATTTCCAGGCTGTCCTCCTGCAATGGACTTATTTTATTGCCCTACTGTCTGCTATTTTACAATCCTTTCTGTGCCTTATTTCTGCTTATGATTTGGAAGTTCTGTTTTTCTAACTAATCATTTCCCAGGAGTTAATCATCGGAATGTCCTTTCTTCCTGAACATTCACTCAAAAACTATACTTTCTTATTGAAGACCCATGACACAGCCACTGGAGGCCAAGTGCTGAACAAGATGAACCCAATTCTAGCCCTCATGCAGGCTATCTTCCATCAAGAAGATGCAGCCATTAAAGGACTGATTAAATAATTAGTGTCAGGACAAAATTGAGACCCAAAATTCATACAAACGATCAATGAAACCAAAAGCTGGTTTCTTGATAAGACAAATACGCTCAATAGACCACCAGCTACCTTAACATAGAAAGAGAGAAGGACAGGCATGGTGGCTCACGCCTGTTATCCTAGCACCTAGGAGGCTGAGGTGAGTGGATCACAAGGTCAGGAGTTCGAGACCAGCCTGGCCAACATAGTGAAACCTCATCTCTGCTAAAAATACAAAAAAATTAGCCAGGCGTGGTGGCAAGCACCTATAATCCCAGCTACTCAGGAGGCTGAGGCAGGAGAATCGCTTGAACCCAGGAGGTGGAGGTTGCAGTGAGCCAAAATCTCACAGTTTTACTCCAGCCTGAGCGACAATGCAAGACTCTGTTGATACAATGAGAGAAAGAAACAAAGAGAGAGAAGATCCAAATAAGCACAGTCAAAAACAATAAAGGTGACATTACAACCAATCCCAATTCCTAGAAACACACAATCCCCCAAGATTGAATCAGGAAGATATTGAAATCCTGAACAGACTAATATTGAGTTCCAAAATTGAATCAGCAATTAAAAAAAAAAAATCTACCAACCACAAAAAAAAAAAGCCCCAGACCAGATGGATTCACAGCCAAATTCTACCAGTTATACAAAATAGAGCTAGTACCAATTATACTTAAAGTATTCTAAAAAATCAAGGAGGAGAGACTCCTGCCTAACTAATCTGTGAAGCCAGCATCACCCTGATACTCAAACCTGGCAAAAGAGCAAAAAAAAAAAAAAAAAAAAAGAAAGAAAAGAAAACCACAGGTCATTGTGCCTGATGAACATAGACCCAAAAATCTTCAAAAAAAAAAAAAGCAAACCAAATCCAGCAGCACATCAAAAACTTAGTACAACACTGTCAATTAGGCCTCATTCCTGAGATAAAAGGTTGGTGCAACAAATGCAAATCAATAAATAAGATTCACCACATAAACAGAATCAAAAATGAAAACTGTATGATTATATCAATAGATGCAGAAAAAGTGTTTAATAAAGCCCAATATCCCTTCATAATAAAAACTCTCAACAAACTAGGCATTGAAGGAACTGTATTAGTTCATTCTCACACTACCACAAAGAACTACCTGAGACTGGGTAATTTATAAACAAAAGAGGTCTAAGTGACTCATAGTTCTACATGGCTGAGGAGGCCTCAGAAAACTTACAATCATGGCAAAAGGCAAAGGGGAACAAAGGCATGTCTTACATGGTAGCAGGAGAGAGAGAGCAAGGCAAAAAGTGCTACACCTTTAAACCATTAGATCTCATGAGAACTCTGTCATGAGATAGCAGTAGGAGGATGGTGCTAAACCATTAAAAACCACCCCCATATTCCAATCACCTCCCACCAGGTCTCTACCTCAACACACGGGGATTACAATTTAAGATGGGATTTGAGTGGGAACACAGAGCCAAACCATATCAAGAATATATCTCAAAATAAGAGCTATCTATGACAAACCCCCGGCCAACATCATACTGAGTGGTCAAAAGCTGGAAGCATTCTCCCTGAGAACTGGAATAAGATAAGAATCCTCACTCTCACCACAACTGTTCAACACGGTACTAGGAATTCTAGCCAGAGCAATCAGGCAGATGAAATAAATAAAAGGCACCCAAATAGAAAAAGAAGAAGTCAAATTATCTATTTTGGTGGAAAACAGAATTCTATATCTAAAGAAACCTAAAGATTCTCCCAAAGGGCTCCTGGAACTGATAAACAACTTCAGTAAAATTTTGGGATACAAAAATCAATGTGCAAAAATCAGTAGCATTTCTATACACCAATAACATTCAAGCTGAGAGCCAAATCAAGAACTTGATCCCATCTACAATAGCCACAGAAACAATAAAATACCTAGGAATACATCTAACCCAGAAGGCAAAAGATCCCCATACAGAGCACCACAAAACACTGCTGAAAGAAATCATAGATGATACAAACAAATGGAAAAACATTCCATGCTTATGTATTGGAAGAATCAATATAGTTCAAATGGCCATACTGCCCAAAGCAATCTACAGATTCAATGCTATTTCTGTCAAACTGCCAATGTCTTTTTTCACAGAATTAGAAAAAAACTATTCTCAAATTCATGTGGAACCAAAAAAGGCCCAAATGGCCAAAGCAATCCCACCCAAAAGGAACAAAATGAAGGCATCATTTTACCCACCTTCAAACTACACTATAAGGCTACATTAAAAAAACATCATGGTACTAGTACAAAAATAAATACATAAGCCAATGGAACAGAATAGAGGACCCAGAAATAAAGCTGCACAGTTACAGCCAACTGGTCTTTGAGAAACTCATTAAAAATGAGCAATGAGAAAAGGACTTCATATTCAATAAATAGTGCTGGGACAGCTAGCTAGCCCCATGCAGAATAATAAAACTGGACCTCTTTCTTTCAACATATACAAAGATTAACTCAAGATAGATTAAAAATTTAAATGTAAGACCTCAAACTGCAAAACTCCTGGAAGAAAACATAAGAAACACCATTCTGGACATTGGCCTTGAGAAAGAATTTATCATTAAGTGCTCAAAAGCAATTGCAACAAAAACAAAATTTGACAAGTCAGACCTAATTCAACAAAAGAGCTTGTGCACAACAATAGAAACAGAGTAGACAGATAACCTGTAGGATGGGAGAAAATATTAACAAACCATGCATTCAACAAAGGCCTCATATCCAGAGTATATAAAGAACTTAATCCAACAAGCAAAAAAAAACCTCTTTAAAAAGGGGCAAAGGACATATATGACATTTCTCAAATAAAGACATCACGAGACCAACAAACATATGAAAAAATGCCAAACATCACTAAATATCAGAAAAATACAAATCATAACCACACTGAGATACCATCTCACACAAGTCAGTATGGCTATTAAAAAGCAAAACAATAATAGATGCTGGTGAGGCTGCAGAGAAAAGGGAAGGGTTGGTGGGAATGTAAATTTATTCAGCCACTGTGTAAAGCAATTTGGAATGTCTCAAAGAACTTAAAACAGAACTACCATTTGACCCAGCAATCCCATTACTTGGCACACTTCCAAAATAAAATAAATTATTCTACCAAAAAAGACGCATACCCTTGTATATTCACTGCAGCACTATTCACCAAAGAAAGACATGGAATCAACCTAGGCACCCATCAATGGTGCATTGGATAAAGAAACTGTGGTACACATACACCATGGAATACTATGCAGCCATAAAAAAGAATGAACTCATGTCCACTGTAGCAACATGGATGCAGTTGGAGGCCATTATCTTAAGTGAATTAATGCAAAAAGAGAAAAACAAATACAACAAGTTCTCACTTATAAGTGGGGGCTAAACTTTGGATACTCAGTGACAAGTTGGCAACATTAGATACTGGGGACTATTAGAGGAGGGAAGGAGAGAGGGGAGCAATGGTTAAAAAACAAACTACTGGATACTATGCTCACTACCTAGGTGATGGGATCAATCATACACCAAATCTCGGCATCATGCAATATACCCGGGTAATGAACCTGCACATGTGCCACCTGTATCTAAAATAAAAGTTGAAATTATAAAAATAAGAAAAAAAGTTAGTTATTTAGAGTCATGATGAGTGCTACATAGAGAAAGTACAAGTCCTGTATTAGTCATCTTGGGCTGCCATAACAAAACACCATACACTAGATACTTTTTTCTTATAGTTCTGGAGGCTAGATGTCTAACGTCAAGGTCTGGAGGCTAGATGTCTAACATCGGGGTCTGGCAGAGTAGACTTCTGGTGGGAGCGCTCTTCCTAGCTTGCAGATATCTGCCTTCTCACCATTACTTCATATGACCTTTCCTTGGTGAATGTACAAGGAAAAAGAAGGAGAACAAGTTCTCTGGTATCTCTTCTTAATAGGATATTAATCTTTTTTAATTAGGGCTCCAACCTTATGACCTCATTTAACCTTAAGTACTTCCTTAGAGGTTCCATCTCCAAATATAGCTACTCTAGGGGTTTAAGCTTCAACATATAAATTTAGCAGAATACAGACATTCACTGCATAACAAGATCTAATCAGAGTATTTAACAAGGCACCTGATTTAATCTGTATTATTAGGGAAGCATCTATGAGCAGGAAATAATTGAGCTCTGAAAGAATAATTAATTAAAAAAACAAGAACGGAAAAATCATATAGACAGAGAAAACAGCATATAAGAAGGCCCTGGAGTGAGAAGCATACCATATTGGAGGAATTAAAGCATGGGCAGTATTGTTGGAGGAATGATGTGATAAAGAGTAGTGGCAGGCAAAGCTGGAAACATAGGTAAGAGTCAGAATTTACAGGCCCTTGTAGGCCAAGTTCCCAACCGCGTAGACACTGAGCAACTTTTAAGGCCTAGGAGCAACATGATTACATAGATGTGTCTTTTATAAAGGAAATTCTCTAACAGCAGTATAAAGAACAAATTAAAGAGGATCAACAATAAAATTAGAGATCATTTATAAAGCTATGGCACTATTTCAAGTGAGAAATAATGGTGGCTCAGGAAAAAGTAATGACTTTGGAAATAAGGAGAGGTAGATTGAATTTGATTTATTTTGGAGGTAGAATGGAGATAGTGATGGATGATTAGCTAAGAAAGGAGATAAAGAGAAAAGAGTTAAGAATGACTTGGGTTTCTGGTTGAATTGGGGTTCATTCACTATGATGGAGAAGAATAATCTTTTTGGTAGGGGCTGGATAGGCAGAGAGAATCATGTGCTCAGTTCCGGACATGTTGAACCTTCAGTGCGTATAATACATTCAGTTGGATGTATGTGCTGCAGATTATTTTAAGAAGCTCTGGGATAGGGGTGTCAATTTGAGAATTATCAACCATAAATGACAAATAAAGCTATTAGCCCTAGCTCAGATTTCCAAAGGATAAAGTATAGAAAAGGAGAGCAAAAGCTTAGGGCAGGACCTTGAAAAAAAGCCAAGATTTAAAATTCAGTAAGAAGCTGTTAAGGACCCTTAGAAGGACTCATCAGAGAGGGATGAGGAGAACTCAAGGAACATTGTATTTCAAAGTAGTCATAGGCAATGGAGACAGCTGCTAAGAATCAAGCAAGATGAGATCTGAAATTTGACAAATGTGTTTAGCCAAATGGAGAGAATGGAGAGCTGTTTAGTGAAGGAGTAGTAGTTGGAGCCAAACTGAAGTGTGCAGGAAAATGTGCGGGACACGATAGAAGTTGGAGAGAACAGCAGCTCCAGGGATCTCCTGTCGCTTAACCTGGATATATACCTGGCAACTCAACAAAAAGATGAATTTGAAACATAGAACAGCTGAATTTATCCAATTAGAAATCAAACAACAATGCTCACTTCCCTTTTTTCCTGGTGCCTTAAAGATGATGGGAATATTTCGGGTTTTATGCATTCTCTGAGTAGATTTTCAACACCTAAACAAAAGGACTGAAATTGAAATTCTATGTACCTTATCAGGGCACAAGGACACAATTCCCAAAGCCTTTTATTTTAACAAGAATGAAACTCAGTTTTGCAAGGGAAAAAGAGAAAGTGATATTGAAAATAAATAGGTAAAAGTCTAAAAGTGAAATAAGATACTTTAAAAAATACTATGTGTTGTAGTATTTAAAGGAGTCACTAGAAGATTGAGTCACCATGATAAATATAAATTATCTTATGTGTCCTCACAGAATTTTTTTAAAATAAGATTTTAGTAATAATAGAAAATATAATATTTGTAATCTTCTTAATACACGTGATGAGGTCTATAATAGACAGGTAAGAGGCATTTTCTGGGCAATGAATTACCCAGAGACGCTGATGAAAGCATTCAGGAAATAGTATGTCTGCCACTAGGAGAGGAGGTAATTAATACAGAGTGAATTTACTGCAAGGGCTTTAGTAAGAAGGTATGTTCTGCAAGAATGCTGGGAGCCTCGTTTACCAGGACAGACCATCACAATGTATGACAGCAGCTTTAAACACCAAGAGCAAAATATGACACTTCATTACTCAATTCTCCCCAAACATATTAGTTTTTAAAATCATATTTTAGGGCTGGCTCGAGCAATTGTTCAATTTCCACTAAGAACCAGACAAAAAGGGGATAGTTTTATAAGAAAATATATCGTTAGATTTCTCTGTTAAATTAAGCACTGCATTTGTCACTCAATGTCTACAAACAAATCAAGTGCTAGTCATAAGAATGGGATAATAAGACTTGTACAATCAATCTCTTTGAAGATTTTAAGGAAAAAGAAAACATATTATATGGGAAGAGTGAAATACAGTTCTACAAATAGACGAGGATACTTCTATGATTCGGGCTCACTCCAAATTTCGCTCCATTTAGGTGTGGAAGAAAATAGGAAGAAGAAAAATAGCTTTGTTGATGAATGAGATAAATAGTTATGCTCTGGTGAAAAATTTTCTGAATAATGTCTCCTGTAACCAGACCTTGCACAATTCTAAATGTTTACACAGTCAGTGCCAATGGAAAACTTTCACGTCTATAAACAACTTTTATTCCAAGCCCAAACATCTCCCTGCTGCGGGATGGTTAGTAAGCAAATACAAGCTGTCAAATAGCACCTTGGAGCCAGATTCCACATACAGAGCAGCATGTATCTGTGTGCAGGCTGATTCATGTGCACAGCACAATATTTTCCAATAGCTAAAATTCAATGTAGAAAAAGGGATTTGGGAAGCCAAATCTGTTTCACCTAAATAAAATACATTTTTTTTCAAGCTACCTTTCTTTTCCTCTCTCTTCTCTTTCATAAATGTCATAAAGAAAACTCAGGTATCAATCAATTATTTATGGAAGAGGGAACCTGAAGCAGAGAAACAGTGAATGTTAACTACTTGTTCCTTTGGTGGTCAGGAGAAAGAGAGGGAGCAGCAGCTCAGTAAGGAAGACAATGGCAAGTGAATACTGTGGACTCCGTTTCAGGAGCATTTACTTAAAGATAAAATTTTTGGAAAAGTAGGCAGAAAACAAAAGCACAGAGATGTAAGTGAAATGCAGAATACTGTTGCCCACGACGCTTACATAGAATGACAGCGGGGAGCAAAAATAATTGAAACGCTCTGTTGTAAAAGGTTTTGAACGTTGTTACTGTTTATCGTTTGTCTGCATTGGTTCCTTAAGTCAAAAACAAATAAAAAACCCTGGCATATCTCAACAGTGGGACCTGGTGTGTTTTCTAGCTCTGGATGTACAATTATAAATGCTACATTTTTTAACTATTAGCAGAAAACATGTCTCACATCTTAAAACACTTTAGAAACCAATCCACAAATGATGTAGTATTTGTAAGTTCATCACTGCATTAGCATCACTAAAACAGTATCTGCCAAACTTATGGCTGTCTCCTTGCTTTGGTCATGACTGTTCTCAGATTCTTTTAACTGTATCAAAATTAGAATATCAGGATACCACTGCCAGACAAGGGTCAAGGGGCTTCACAAATCCTTTGTTCACTATTCAGTGTATTGTCCAAATAATATCCAGCCTGCTTTATTCATCTCCCTTAAGGTGAGAATTGCCCTTAATAAGAAATGTCCTGAGTCCCAGGCTGGCCTTGCTTGCATTGGAGGGGTCCCACAACTGTTCAATTGGGTGTTTGTGGGCTAGACTGGAAAGCACCAATGAAGAAGAAGAACATAGGGACCTTTTTTCTCCCCTCATGCTAGTCAGAAATTATAAAATTCTGATGAAATAAATTTTGCTTTTATTTATTTAGGAAAGGTGGACCAATCTCTTTCTAATCTATATATCTACATATTTCTTTGTATTTTTGTACCTATCGATTCTATGTATCTATGTATCCTCAGTGAATATATTCTACTTCCCAGCTTGAGTGACCACTGCCAGGCTGATAACACCATGATTTGGATCATCAGTTTATTTTTTTCTCTGGAGCTTTATAGACACATAGGTATATAGAGATACTGATATACATATAAGTAAAGATATAGATATAAAGACAAAGGAGCAGGATTATTTGAATCACAGATTAGAGAGCGTTTCTGATTTTTCCTCAGAGTAGCCATGAAACCTGTATTTAAAAAAATAAAAGACAGGGACTTCGGTTCACATTGCATTTTCATGATCTGTTAGAACAGTTTCTATAAGAAAGAAAAACAAACATCTTGTCTTCTGCTTTGTAGGACTCATTTGGGGATGATGCTGAGCAACATCTCTAGCCTCACTGCAGGAAATGGTGCAAACTGTGATCTCCTGCTTTCAAGGCACTTAGAAGCAATTAATAGACAAGACTAACATGTATAATAAAGTAATACAAGAGAATGCCTTAGAAAAGCTAAATTATGTTATGCTAAATATGCCACAGGAGAGGGAATTTAAGGAAGGAGATATTACTAGCATCTGTCCTATTCTTTCCTATATCCCTCCTACTGAGATGAAAGCCATCTTTCCTCCTTACTACTGAGAGGATAATCCCACTTTCTTATCAATATTAAAAGTGGTTCTAGTCTCTCCCGTTAAAAAAAATACTCTTTAACTTCATAACCCCTCCAACTCCTTCATAATCAAATTTCTTGAAAAAAAGAAAAAAAACCATTTACATTCAGAGTTTAGACTTTCTTATAAATGATTTACTTCTCAAGCCACAGGTGTGATACCATGGGTTAAGGAACAACTAATACAAGGGATGTTAAAGTGTAAAACATAGCAGTCCCTTCTCCCTCATACTTAAACATCTCTTATGGGTCTATACTAGGCTATTGCTCTTCTTTCTCTGTGAATATATTCTACTCTCCAGCTTTAGTGATCATTGCCAGGCTGATAACTCCATGTTTTGGGTTACCAGTACATTTTTTTCTCTAGAGATTCATATACACATTTTCAACTGTGTACTGAATATCCCTTTCATACATGCAATCGAATATGTTCAAAACTGAAATTATCTTACTGTTCTCTCTTACCATCCAACACTCTGTAAATTAATACATCTCATTCCTTCCCTTTCTATTTCTTGCCAACATACTGATACTACTCTAGGTCATTATTTAGATATACAAGTACTGCCTGTATGATTTCAACAAGTCTCCATTTTCATGTTTTGAATCTGGTTTTATTCCCTCCAATCATTTCCCACATACCAAATATAACAATCTTAAAAAATAAATAAATCTGAACATGCTTACCCTTTCTAAAATGCTTGAAGGACCCCCAATTACCCACAGGATGAATATGATATTCTTTAAAAGGCTGACATGATTCACTTTCCCCTCCCATGCAACAATCTAGACAAACACATCTACCTTCAATTGTCCAAAGGCCCTGGACTTCTACATAGACTATTACCTCCTGCCTAGTAGACTCTTCATTTCATTTGTCACAGATTATTTAAATTACACTAATGTTTTTCTGTGGACATCCCTTCCTCTTAGTAGTCTTTCTTTGAATCTGCACACCTATTACTTCTATGACAGTTTTGATTAACTTTATCTCATTTCTCTTAGCTATATCCTCTGTTAAGCTCAATGGGGTCAGAAAGTATGTCTGTCTTAAATACTTTACTTCTTATAACTAAGCACAATGTCTGACATACAGTAGGTCCTCAATACAGGTGATCAGAGAAAGATATATCAATAAAAGTCTCTTGAGTAGAATTTAAGTGGGGTTGATTTTTCAAGAAATAATGTATATGAAAGCGTTCCCTCTGTAACACTTTGAAGACTGGTCAAATTTAACAATCTACTTGACAATCATTTTATGGCAACACAAAAATATGATAAAACCTTGCCATGATATATTGGACTCTGGGGACTCAGGGGAAAGGGTAGGGGGTGGGGAGGAATAAGAGACTACACATTGGGTACGGTGAACATTGCTCAGGTGAT
The DNA here is from genome assembly GCF_000001405.40 of Homo sapiens. Classification (NCBI taxonomy): domain Eukaryota; kingdom Metazoa; phylum Chordata; class Mammalia; order Primates; family Hominidae; genus Homo; species Homo sapiens. The sequence goes on from NC_000006.12 coordinate 104,049,930, forward strand.
GGGTGCACCAAAATCTCAGAACTCACCACTAAATAATGTATTCATGTAGCCAAACACAACCTGTTCCCCAAAAACCTATTGAAATACAAAAACTAAAAATAAAAAACTTTACAAATGTTGACCAAACAGGGAAAAAAATCAATCAGAGCGGAGTGAAAGTAAAATAATGGCATAATTTTAAAAATGAATATAAATATATTAGTTTTTACTAAGATATTCCAAACTAGCCTAAGAAACTCTTTGTAGAGGTGCTAAGGAACTCAGTCTAAAAAAATAGAAATGCTTTCAAGTTAGCATGTATATTGTAAGTATGTGGGCGTTTCTAAAAGTGCTTCAAAATCACCCATTCACTTAAGTATTTTAAGCATTCCTCCTGCAATTTAGCTCAAGCTGCAATTTAGAACAATTTGCGGGAAAGATTTGCTAAGTACAAATAATTTCCAATCAGCCCCTTTTCCAAATTATTATAAACTTTAAATTTATATTAGCTGTTCTAATTAATGAGATCTCAGTGTCCTTAAAATTGGAAAATAAAGTGGTTGATCCTGGGTGGTGTATGGTACCAAAAAGGAAGTATACAAATTTTAAAACGTATTATCCTCATCTATGGAATAAAAGAAAAAATTCTCAACACAACCAAATGATAGCTTTTAAAAGCTGTCAGAGACACCTCATTTGTGAGTCATGTTTTTAGTCCAGCAGCCTGAATGCAGAGAACTCTAGTCACAGACTACACCTAGACTAGCTCAGAGAACACTCAGAGCCTTTTGCTAAGGATGCCCCTGAGCAGTGATTCCCAAATCAGAGTGCATGTGCAGAGAGAGGAGAGGGGGTAAGCAGGCAGTATCCCTGAGCGTAACATTTCAGAACAGCATAAATCAATGTTTACTTAGTTTATTTTGACAAGGAAGTGCCTTCATTATATTTGTGGGTGAGTTCCTCTGTTTGCAAGGTCAAGTTATAGTGCACAACATTTTACAAGGTTTTCCTAAAGTAGTATTTATTTATATGATTTTATCATTTTAGTTTTATATGTGCATATTAAAATATACATTTTTGTGTACACAAATGTCTGCAAAAAAATATTTGCATCAAAAGATGAAGTATTAAAAATATGATATATTTTACTATATTTATTCTCATAATAGTTTATAGAAAAAAATGATCCTGACTATTTCTAAGGCAATAAGAATTCAGGAAATGCCATCATTTTTATCCCTACATGTTTTGTAGAATTACATATAAACAACAACGAACTGATGAGGAAACATTCTGTGTTTAAAGACCTTCAGACAAAGAGATCTGCAAACCACTTTCAACAATGTAACCCTGAAAAAATACCTAAAAACTTTTGCCAGAGGAAACTATTTTCTATAATAACATGAATTCCTCAGATAGCAGCAAAAGCCCATTTCCTGCTGTTAGGTTCTCAATGGAAAGGAGATGAATAATTTTTCTTCATATCTTTGAACAATGTTTAAATTATGCCCCAATCTTCTCTGTTTCACACTAAATAATTTCTCACTCCCTGAGCACTTCTTCAAGGGTGTTACTTGAAATTATAATTGTTGATCTCCATTGCACCCACTTCAGTCTCTTTATGAGTTATAGAAAACTAGACTCAAAATTTAATAAGAGCAAAACTCATATTTCACATTTTTCATAGTTTTATTTGTAGATCCCAATCTTCTAGTTAAAAAAAAAAGAAAGAATAAGAGAAAATAGCAATACCATATTCTGGAACTTATTTTCTGACTAAATGTTTACTATTGCCCTCATCTATACCTGTCATCCTCCCCTACCTGTCCCCACTCTCCTCTATTTCCAGATAAGTGCAATATTTTACAAACTGAAACCTCTAAGCACTATAAATATCACTATAGTATAGGGCCCCATGAGGCTATTTAAATAAAATAAGAGAGCACCAGAGCCCTTTGTTAAGACAGGATTCTGTTGTGAAGAACAATGCTGATTTCTCCAGTGGACAGAGGGAAATGGTTTTAATTGGATTACTAATGTGACCCTTGGGTCCCATAGAGATCTATAATGCTTAGTTAGATACCATTTTACCTAACTAAAAGGATTTGCTAAAGAAATGTGATTTTTTTTAAGTTCCCTGGAACAAAATGTATTGTTGGAGCAGTATATCTTAGTCACATTGCAGGCTGTGGGATTTATGTCATGTTTTACTGTTTGATCAGAAGCTCCTTTAGACTTGTGGAGGACGAGCTAGACATTCTCAGTATGAGCTTATTAATAGTTGTACTTAAATAATTGCCCAAGAGCCTCATTACTTGCTGGACTTAATAACAGTGTTATGTAGTTGATGTAGTACATTCATTCTAATATTGAAAACACTTTGTTCTCCTTGGTGAAAGGCAGTGTATTGCATGGTTAAGGGTCCTGGAAGCCTCTGGAGTTAGACTGCTTGAGTTTGAATCTTGTACTATGCATTTATTAACTCTGTATCCTTAGACTAGTTAAGCATTACTTGTCTCATATGTAAAATAGAGATAACACTTTTTCAAAGGGTTGCTAGAAAGATTAGATGAATTAATAAATAATCACTTAATTATGGACATGGTAAATATTCAATAAATTATAATTATGATTATTATCATCATCATTGTTTACATTTGTGACTTTTTTTCCTTTACATATATATAAGAGTCTTATTCCAAACTGTGACCCTTCCTCTTACTTTCCCCTAATCTGGTAATCACTTCAAGTATGATTAAAAGCTGAGTTACATGCAAAAAAGTACTGAAAGTACTGAGGAACTTGAAATCACGTAATGAAAGAGAATATGACTATCAAATCCAAAAAGATTCATTAACATAATTTCCTCTAAAGTATGTTTAAACAAATAAACAGATGAAAAGTTCAATTTAAAAAGCAATCATATGAAATATTTCGTCCCAAATTTGAGAGTAGGCACCAAAATCTCTTCTCAAGAGGAGAGTGATGAGTAGGGGGAGGAAGGAAGGAACAAGGACAAATTCCTTCTATTTGGTACCTGTGCTTTCTTCCCAAATCCTAGAGAAAATACCAAGTGGTTTCTGACTTCAGAAGCTTGAAATCTAGAGTGAGAAGCTCATGCAGGCCCATTATGAACATTATCTCTCAAAGGGAATATTGGTAACCATGATAGAGGTAACATAGACCCACATTAATTCAATGTTGACCATATATACAGGTTTAGGAGTTAAGAAGATGGTTCTTCATATGCAAATTCTCCTAAGGGTAAAGCTTATCATTCCTTCCTGCATCATTTTGACTGACTTTCTTCTCATGCTTTCTTTAGTTGGCATTTAGCTGAATCTGTATGTATGTTAATTTTAATATGAGGGAGGAAGAGGGGTTACGCCATACAATTTTATTGTGCTAATTGTCTAGTGGATGCATTAGCTAGCCAGTGCAAGGGATAATAGAATGAGTATACAACTGCCATAAAGCAATACATGCTTTAATAAAGATAGAGAAATTTAGCATGTATAAAATATATAGAATGCAAAGAAAATATAATGTGTATATTAGTTCATTTTCATACAGTTGTGAAGAAATACCCAAGACTGGGTAATTTATAAAGCAAAAGAGGTTTAATGAACTCACAGTTCCATATGGCTAAGGAGGCCTCACAATCTTGGCAGAAGACAAAGAAGGAACAAAGGCATGTCTTACATGGTGACAACAAGAAGTGCCCAGCAAAAAGGGGGGAAAAGCCCATTATAAAACCATGAGATCTCATGAGAACTCACTCACTATCATGAGAAAAGCATAACCGTAACCGCCCCCATGATTCAATTATCTCCCATGGGTCCCTCTCATGACATGTAGGGGTTCTGGGAATTACAATTCAAGATGAGATTTGGGTGGGGACACAGCCAAACCACATCATGTGTTACGGGACACAGACTCAGTGCTTTTGGTGGCCAGTGGAGGGGAGTGATCACATACAAGGTAGGATCAATAAATGTTTGACCTCCCAATAGGAGGTGAGACACCAGAGAAAAATGATTCATGGTTTGGGCTTTACATAGGAATTCACAGCTGACCACCTTCAGAAAGACTTATTTGGCTAACACAGTGTTCTTAAATTTTAAAAATTATATTGCAATATTTTTAAAACAATATTTATATAAACATTTCTGTTTATATATTTTCTTTATAAATGGGAAGATCTGTATAGAGTGGTCCTCATGGCCAAGAGCAGGAGTTCATGGGAGGCTGGGGAGAGCTAGAATATTGTGCTCTGTAGATTACCTGGGCCCGGCTCCCCATGCCAACTCCATGCATCGAGGCAACCTGTCTGAATCTTGTACACATTTAAAATTAAGGTTTTCAGTACACATGGTATTATTATTTTAGAATATTTAACGCTTTTTTTTGCTCTATGCCAAATTGTATAAACTGGGGACATTTTGTGTTAAATACCGTATATGAAACTTATATGTAAATAATAGTAGAAAACCAAAAAAGTTGAAAGGTTCCAAAGAGTAGATATTATTTAAAGTGAACTTAGAAGAATAGGTAATATTTATAAACCGGGGGAGTGATGAAGAGTAAAGTACTCCAGGTGTAAGCAAAGAAACAAAGCAAGAATATTTGTTCAATTTTAAAAAACATAAGTTTTCCTGTATATACATGGGGTACATTGGGGAATAGCAGAAATCTGGGGAATGACTTTCACATACCTACCTGGCTCTCTACTCGCAGCTGCAATACAATGTTATCATCAACCCTCATTCTTTGCCAGATACATTGCTGAAGCCAGAAGACATGATCCAGATGATGGAACAAGGCTGTGAAGTCTATTGGAATCCTGGTGAAAAGTGGTCAGGCTCAAGACTTTCTTTCTCTGATCTTGAGGAGTACCTAGAACTTAGCCACCAACTGTCTGGGGGCAAAAATTAGAAACAAGAGTAGTCCCTAGAAACTCTCAAGGGGAAGGGCCAAATAGGCTTTGGAAATCTAACTGGTAGCACCTAGAGATCTCGGGGGTTTCATAGACAGCCACGGAGGAAGAAGAACAGTAGGCTCAGTAATCTTCACCTCTAAAGCTGCTGGCCATTGCAGCTAAGAAGCCCAGAATGCAGAGTTCCTTCCTTCAGGGAGTTACACACAGCTAGCTCTCAGAAGTGGACACCACTGACCCTTTACCCTTTCCAGGGTAGGATTGTCACTGCTGGGAAAAAAAAAAAAAAACTGATCTTGAGCTGCAAGGTAGCCAAGAATGGGCAAAGAAAAATAACACCTCAGGAAATGCATCAGCCAGAGAAGAAAGAGAAGCAGACCAGATCATGCTGCAACTAGTGGAAAACAATTGCTAAGGAGGAAATTTGTAACTTGGACAAAACACTAATGTTAATTTACAAAGCTTTGATTATTATAAACAATAACCACAAAAACATTTATGAACACATTTTTTGGGGGACTGAGAAATTATTATCAAATTTAAAAATCTACCAATTGATAACACACGATTATATTCTTGAGAAACTAACAATTTGCCTGTAAGACCCAAAAAATAAAAATCTTGCAACACAAAGAAAAAAAAGATAGAAATTATAAGACAGAAGGTAAGAGAGCTGGAGGAACAAACTGGGAGAGACACAGGCAGATATTAAAAATTCAAAATGGAGGTAAAGTAAAGAACAGAAATTAAGGGCAGGAATTGAGTAACAAATTGTGAAAAATCTTATTGGTTGAAAAAATATTTGGGTCCATAGCTTGAAACAAAATGCTCAGAGAAATCATGTTAAAATTTCTGAAGAAACTTTTTATCATCTATTTCTATAATTTAAATAATTCAGGAATCTCCCAATGTATAACCGACAAATTATATTACTATGTATAATTGACTTTAATTATATTATTCTTCTTTGTACACATTTTTTTTTCTACTATGGTTATCTATTTCTGAAAGTGGTTTTAAACTCTTTAATTATACTTTATTTTAAGATCATTTTGCCTATGATAATCTTTGCTTCTCATATTTAGCTACCATATTGTTGGTGCACAGAGATTCAAGTTCTGGCCAGGGCAATCAGGCAAGAGAAAGGAATAAAGGGAATTCAGATAGGAAGAGAAGAAGTCAAATTATCTCTGTTTGCAGATGACATGACTGTATATTTAGAAAACCTCATCATCTCAGCTCAAAATCTCCTTAAGCTGATAAGGAACTTCAGCAAAGTCTCAAGATACAACATCAATGTGCAAAAGTCACAAGCATTCCTATACATAAATAATACATAAATAGAGAGCCAAATCATGAGTGAACTCCCATTCGCAATTGCTACAAAGAGAATTAAATGTCTAGGAATACAACTTACAAGGGACGTGAAGGACCTCTTCAAGGAGAACTACAAACCACTGCTCAAGGAAATAAGAGAGGACACAAACAAATAGAAAACTATTCCCTGGTCATGGATAGAATCAATATCATGAAAATGGCCATACTACCTGAAGTAATTTATAGATTCAATGCTATTCCCATCAAGCTACCATTAACCTTCTTCACAGAATTAGAAAAAACTACTTTAAAGCTCATATGGAACCAAAACAGAGCCCACATAGCCAAGACAATCCTAAGCAAAAAGAACGAAGCTGGAGGCATCACGCTACCTAACTTCAAACTATATTACAAGGCTACAGTAACCAAAACAGCATGGTACTGGTACCAAAACAGATATATAGACCAATGGAACAGAACAGAGGCCTCAGAAATAATACCACAGATCTACAACTATCTGATGTCTACAAACCTAACAAAAACAATCAATGGGGAAAGGATTCCCTATTTAATAAATGGTGTTGGGGAAACTGGCTAGCCATATGCAGAAAAGTGAAACTGGACACCTTCCTTACACCTTATACAAAAATTAACCCAAGATGGATTAAAGACTTAAACCTAAGACATAAAACCATAAAAACCCTAGAAGAAAATCTAGGCAATACCATTCAGGACATAGGCAAAGACTTCATGACTAAAACACCAAAAGCAATGGCAACAAAAGCCAAAATTAACAAATGGGATCTAATTAAACTAAAGAGTTTCTGCACAGCAAAAGAAACTATCATCAGAGTGAACAGGCAAACTACAGAATGGGAGAAAATTTTTGCAATCTATCCATCTGACAACGGGCTAATATCCAGAATCTACAAAGAACTTAAACAAATGTATAAGAAAAAAAAAACCCCATCAAAAAGTGGGCAAAGAATATGAACAGATACTTCTCAAAAGAAGACAGTTATGCAGCCAACAAACATAAGAAAAACAGCTCATCATCACTGGTCATTAGAGAAATGCAAATAAAAACCACAATGAGATACCATCTCATGCCACTTTGAATGGCAATCATTAAAAAGTCAGGAAACAACAGATGCTGGAGAGGATGTGGAGAAATAGGAACACTTTTACACTGTTGTTGGGAGTGTAAATTAGTTCAACCATTGTCGAAGACAGTGTGTAGATTCCTCAAGGATCTAGAACCAGAAATACCATTTGACTCAGCAATCCCATTACTAGGTATATACCTAAAGGATTATAAATCATTCTACTATAAAGACACATGCATACGTATGTTTATTGCTGCACTGTTCACAATAGCAAAGACTTGGAACCAACCCAAATGCCCATCAATGATAGACTGGATAAAGAAAATGTGGCACATATATACCATGGAATACAATGCAGCCATAGCAAAGGATGAGTTTATGTCCTTTGCAGGAACATGGATGAAGCTGGAAACCATCATTCTCAGCAAACTAACAAGAACAGAAAACCAAACACGCGTGTTCTCACTCATAAGTGGGAGTTGAATAATGAGAACACATGGACACAGAAAGGGGAACATCACACGCTGGGGCCTGGGGAGGCCCCAGTTGGGGGCTAGGGGAGGGATAGCATTAGGAGAAATACCTAACATAGATGACAGGTTGATGGGTGCAATAAAACCACCATCACACATGTATACCTATGTAACAAACCTGCACGTTCTGCACATGTACCCCAGAACTTGAAGTATAATAATAAAAAAAATTGTTTTCTTTCGAATGTTACATAGCACTCATCTTTGTCTTCTTTGGTAATTTTCTCCTTAAATTAATATTAACTGATAATAATACTTGTTCTTTCAAGATTAGCTTTAAAACTATTTGTTGCTTTTGTAAATTAGAAATTATAAATAATATTCTAAAAATTTTGATGTTGGCTGGGCACGGTAGCTACCACCTGTAATCGCAGCACTTCAGGAAGCTGAGGTGGGAGTATCACTTGAGTCCAGGGGTTCAACACTAGCCTCAACAACGTGGCAAAACCCCATCTACACACATACACACACACACACACACACACACACACACACACACACACACACACACACACACACAACCTAGCTGGGCATGGTGGCGTGTGCCCTAAAGTCCAAGCTACTCAGGAGGCTGAGGTGGAAGGATGGCTTCAGTCCAGAAGGTCAAGACTGCAGTGAGCCATGATCATACCACTGCACTCCAGCCTGGGTGACAGAATGAGACCCTGTCTCAAATAAATAAGTAAATATGTTAATGTTCACTTAAGTTTTTATTTTCTAATTAATTCAAATTGGTAATTAATATTTTCTAAGAAATTATTTTCTGTAGGTTTTATATTGCCTTAGTATTTATAGAAATGTGAATTAAGATAATATCACTTCATACCTACTAGAAAGACAAAACGATAGTTGTTAATACTTAACAAGTATTAATTCAAATTGTTGCTGGGATTTCAGGTGATAATAATATAGTATATTGTCATTTTAGACAGTAGACTGGCAATATTTATTCACTGTCAAAATACAGTAATGCCACATGGAAGCATCCATTCCATAGAAACAAGCTTGCAAATCTAAGGAAACGCACTCAACACACACATAGAGAACATTTATTAAAGCTTTGTTTCAAGTGGCAAAAAATATATATATTTGGAGAAAAATTGAAAAAATTCAGCAACGTAATATCTATGGAATACTATACATCAATGACCAGCCTGGCCAACATGGCGAAACCCCATCTTTACTAAAAATACAAAAATTAGCTGGGCGTGGTGGTGGGCACCTATAATCCCAGCTACTCAAGAGGTTGAGGCAGGAGAATCGCTTGAACCCAGGAGGCAGAGGTGGCAGTGAGCCAAGATCTTGCCACTGCACTGCAGCCTGGGTGACAGAGTGAGACTCCATCTCAAAAACAAAAACAAAAACAAAAGCAAAAAATAGTTTAGACCTGTACCAGTTGATTTGAAGGAATTGCCATGACACATTGTTAAGACAGAAAAAAGGAAGAAATGCTGAGAAATGTTTTATGAGCACAAGTTCTCCAAAAAGCAGAAACTAGATGTGAAAGTAAATTTATAATAAAAAAAAATTCTGGAAAGGCAAATGAGGTGGGTGCTGGGGGAGTCTGGGAAGGTCTTCTATGAAGGAGAGAGGGAACAAGGAAGATTTGATGAAAGAGACATTTACTACATTGCAGGTCTAATAAAGTTTGGCAAGGCTGAGAGGGAGTCATCCAGCCAAAATTGCCTGCTAGAGTTCCAATTTTGCAGAAATGACCCTGCCATTGTTGTCTTTCCACTTTCAATCACTGGCTAGGTTCATGGGAAGTGTGGCCTTCATGCCAACAGGTGGATGGATTTCAGAGTTCAGCAGCAAGGGCCACAGGTCAATTAGGCTCCCTGTTATTGGAGGTCCAAGAGGCATATTTTCATTTTAAGATGATTTCTTTCAGCATGGAAATAATAATGACTGAATACATAAGGATTGTATCATTGGTTGCATTATTTTTTTTGAAAGCGGGTAGGGAAAGAGAGAAGAGAGAAAAAAGGCAAAAAAAAAACATACAAAACTATGATTTTATTAAAGCACAAAAGATAAAAATATCAATTTGTATAAAATATTCTATTATTTTAAATAACCTGATATTTTAAAATGTGAGTATATTTAACAACAGGTTTAACACTATGTTAAGATGTCAATTGCTCCCAACTGATCTCTAAATTCAAAACGATCCATATCAAACTACAGCATAGTTTTTTCATGGAAATTAATACGCTAATTCCAAAATTCACATGAAAATGCAAAAGACTTAGAATATACAGTGCAATTTTGAATGAGAACAGAGTCGGAGAGCTACCTAACTGCAAAGTCTATTGCAAAGATATAATAGTTCAGACAATGTGGTTTGGCATCAAAATAGAGAAAGTGATCAATGGAACAGAATGGAAAGTTCAGTAGTAGACCTACATCATAGCCAACTAACATTCAACAAAAATCCAAAGGTAATTCAGTGGAAAAAGTATGTATACATGTTGTCTTTTCAAGTGGTGCTGGAAAAATTGCATATCCATATACAAAGGAAATATGCACTTAAGTCATAGATTCTACCACAATGCAAAATAAAACTTAAAATAGATCATAGACCTAAATATGACCTAAAACTACAAAACTTGTAGAAAAAAACATAGTAGAAAATCATTGTGGCCTTGAGTGAGGCAAATAATTATTAACTATACCACCAAAACAATGACCTATAAAATAAAAAATTAATTAATTTGACCTCATCAAAATTAAAACCTCTTTATTTGGGGGAAGAAAACTCTTAAGACAATGAAAATACAAGTAAAAATTGGAAGAAAATAGTTGCAACTCATATAACCGGTAAACAGCTTATATCCAGAATATATAAATCTCAAAGCTGAAAAATAAGAAAACAATAAAAAATGGACAAAAAATTTAAGTAGACATATCACTGAAGATATAAGGATGGGAAGTAAGCACTTAAAAAGATGTTCAAAATCACTGGTGTAGGAGCAGAGAGAAAGCTTCCCTTCTGTCCCTTCTGAAGGTTAGCTGCAATGATTGACAATCGACAAATTAGTAGAAAAATGTTTACAAATTTATTAACATGCATATGGACACAGAAGTTCTGTAAAAATGAGACTCGAAGAAGAACCAGATAGTTAAGGCTGAAATACCCTCTTCATAAGCGGGAGGGAACTCAGGGGGCCGTAGGTAATTTTAGAGAGGTAGTACATGATTTTTAGGAGAAATAAATGGGCCTAAATAACAAAGACCTGGGACAAAGTTTCTTGGAGCTCCAGAAGAGATGGTGGAGAGGAGATGGCAGGAAGGCAAGGAACAGACCTTCACTGTGAACAAAGGTTGTCTTAGGTAGCTAAGTCTCCCAGGCAATCTCTTGGAGCTGACCTCAGAAGAATAGATGAAAAGCTCTTCTGGCCATGGTAACTTTTCATCTCTTCTCCAGTGGTTTATCTTTTTGAGTTATTTGATGATATTTCACAGGAGAGGGTTTTAGGATAATTGCATGTCCTCTGGAGAGAAATTTCCTTAGTCAGATAAGAAAATTTCAGAATAAGTTTATCCAGGTGCTTCAGAAAAGAAAGAGAATTAGAGAGAGAAGGGGTTGGGGAAAGGTCAGAGAAAGATGTTGGTCCTGAGGCTTATTTATGAGGCCTTTTAATTTTCTTTAATTCAAAGCACTCAGCATGCTAAGACACCATATTTTGCAGTGTTTTCTGGGCTCCAACACTAGTTACTAAAATACAAATTAAAACCATCATGAAATAGCATGTACCCATTAGAATGTCTTTAATAAAAAGACTGACCATCAAAGAGTGTTTATGAGGCTATGGAGGAACTGGATTGGAACTCTCATACAACTGCTGATAAAAATGTAAAATAGCCAAAGGCCTTTTCTGCATCTATTGAGATAATCATGTGGTTTTTTTCTTTGGTTCTGTTTATATGCTGGATTACATTTATTGATTTGTGTATATTGAACCAGCCTTGCATCCCAGGGATGAAGCCCACTTGATCATGGTGGATAAGCTTTTTGATGTGCTGCTGGATTCGGTTTGCCAGTATTTTATCGAGGATTTTTGCGTTAATGTTCATCAAGGATATTGGTCTAAAATTCTCTTTTTTGGTTGTGTATCTGCCTGGCTTTGGTATCAGGATGATGCTGGCCTCATAAAATGAGTTAGGGAGGATTCCCTCTTTTTCTATTGATTGGAATAGTTTCAGAAGGAATGGTACCAATTCCTCCTTGTACCTCTGGTAGAATTTGGCTGTGAATCCACCTGGTCCTGGACTCTTTTTGGTTGGTAAGCTATTGATTATTGCCACAATTTCAGATCCTGTTATTCAGGACATAGGCATGGGCAAGGACTTCATGTCCAAAACACCAAAAGCAATGGCAACAAAAGCCAAAATTGACAAATGGGATCTAATTAAACTAAAGAGCTTCTGCACAGCAAAAGAAACTACCATCAGAGTGAACAGGCAACCTACAACATGGGAGAAAATTTTCGCAACCTACTCATCTGACAAAGGGCTAATATCCAGAATCTACAATGAACTCAAACACATTTACAAGAAAAAAACAAACAACCCCATCCAAAAGTGGGCAAAGGATATGAACAGACACTTCTCAAAAGAAGACATTTATGCAGCCAAAAGACACATGAAAAAATGCTCATCATCACTGGCCATCAGAGAAATGCAAATCAAAACCACAATGAGATGCCATCTCACACCAGTTAGAATGGCAATCATTAAAAAGTCAGGAAACAACAGGTGCTGGAGAGGATGTGGAGAAATAGGAACACTTTTACACTGTTGCTGGGACCGTAAACTAGTTCAACCATTGTGGAAGTCAGTGTGGCGATTCCTCAGGGATCTAGAACTAGAAATACCATTTGACCCAGCCATCCCATTACTGGGTATATACCCAAAGGATTATAAATCATGCTGCTATAAAGACACATGCACACGTATGTTTATTGCAGCACTATTCACAATAGAAAAGACTTGAAACCAACCCAAATGTCCAACAATGAGAGACTGGATTAAGAAAATGTGGCACATATACACCATGGAATACTATGCAGCCATAAAAAAGGATGAGTTCATGTCCTTTGTAGGGACATGGATGAAACTGGAAATCATCTTTCTCAGTAAACTATCACAAGGACAAAAAACCAAACACCGCATGTTCTCACTCATAGATGGGAATTGAACAATGAGAACACATGGACACAGGAAGGGGAACATCACACTCTGGGGACTATTGTGGGGTTGGGGGAGCGGGGAGGGATAGCATTAGGAGATATACCTAATGCTAAATGATGAGTTAATGGGTGCAGCACACCAGCATGGCACATGTATACATATGTAACTAACCTGCACATTGTGCACATGTACCCTAAAACTTAAAGTATAATAATAATTAAAAAAAAGAAAAAAAATGTAAAATAGCACAACAATTTTGGAAAAAACATTTGGAAATCTTCTTTAAAAATTAAACATACATCAACCATATGACCAAGCCATTCCACTCCTGTGTATTTAAGGGGAAGATAATGTATATCCATAGAAAAACTTGTATTCAAATGTTCACCGCAACTTATCTGTAATAGTCAAAAATGGAATAGAGCCCAAATGTCCATCAACAAGTTACTAGATAAATATATTGTAATATAGCTTTACTACTGTAGACTATTTGACAATAAATGGAATACATTATTGATAAGTGACACATGAATGAATCTTAAAATAATTATGTGGGGTAAAACAAGTCAGACAGGAAAAGAGTATACACCGTATGATTCCAGTTATATAAAATTATAAGATATGCAAACTAATCCAGAGTGACAGAAAACAAGGTAGGCAAGAGAGAGAGATTATAAAAGGATATAAGGAAACTTTTCAGAGCAATGGAGGTAGTCATTATCTTGATTGTGGTGATGGTTTCATGGGTGTATATACATGTCAAAAATTTTCAAACCATTCACTTTAAATATGTGCAGTTTATGCCAATTATATATGAATAAAATGAGTAAAAGTATATATGATAAAAGAAGTATAGTACAGTTTGTGTAAAATATTATATATATGTGCATGTGAGTATAGAAACATTTAAAAATCATGAAAGCTAGGTCTATGAAGTTAGTGATTGTCTTAGGTGGAATTCTGGATAATTTTTACCATTTTCCTCATATATTTTATGTATAAATCATTTTCACAGTAAGCACATACTATTTGTATAGTCACAGTATATCAATTTGCGTTGGGAATAAAAGAGAGTTTTGAGTGATGAAATGTTAAACTATCAAATAATAACTACACTTTACGCACATCTATTAATGGGGCAGACATTAATTATATATTTACTGTAATTGAATCTGACCTTTAAAATCACTTGATGAAGTGAAATTGTTAACTCCACTTTTCTAGTGAAAAAGCTGAGCAAATTGCCTAACATAACAATTTGGTACATATTGGATCTAGAATATAAACACACACTTGAATGATTTCGAAGGCTTGTGCTGTTTTTATTATTTATTATTTTATTCCTTCAGGAAAGTCACTATCATATAATAACAATTAACAATAACATTGCTATTCTCAATAACAAGCATTGTGTGACATTTTTCCAATGCTTAAATGTGTTAACTCATCTAATCCTCACAACAACCCTCTGATAAATGCCAAAGTTATTCACATTGTATAGATAAGGAAACCGACTCAAAGAGGTCTTTTCCACAAATACTCAACTACTAAAACATGAAGCAATATTGTGAACAGCAGAGGCATCCATCTTGTTAGGTTTGAGAGAGGTAGTGAAGAGTTTAGGGCAGGGACTAACATAATTCAATCTATGCATTGGGAGTATAAATCTTAGGTTGACAGCAGACAGGACAGAGTGAAGAAAGAAGTTGAGACTTTATTATCAAGGACACCTTAGGCACTTGCCTTTTACCATGCTCACAACTTGTGAGGAATTCCATCTTACCTCCTATTGCTTTAGGTAGGTTCAGTGGTGGCACTACTGATATCACTCTAATAGAAGCCATTTACTGGTTGGTGCTCTCCACACTCTCAAATATTTAGAGATACTTTGATGCAGAAAACAGACAGCAAAGCCTACAGTCCCCTCAGAGGAAGACTTGATGCCTTACGATTGCTGGTCGCAAGGAAGAGCTGGCCTCTGGGATACGCAGAAAAAGGCACACTGCACTCCTCCTTTTTGGCTTGGCTGGGGGCATTTATTCCTTAATCGCTGCACACAGTGATGTGTTGATGGAGAAGAGCGAGTGGGTGAGCTTCTTGCCTGAGTCAACTGCAGTGACTCAGTGCCGATATGAGTGTTCTTTTTCTCATATCGGCAATGAAAAAGCAAACTCCAAAATGGCAATGTCCATGGTGACATTCGATATGTCCCAAAATCAGGATTTGAAGCTAGTTGTTCTGATTTAGAGTTCACAAATCATTCCTCTATAACATACACATAAAATAAAGAATAACACATCTATCTTATGAAGTAAAGGGTCTAACTATAGCCTTTGTTCCATCTGTTTTAAAGATATGTATCAGGTTTTTTTTTTAAGTTCCTACCTACTTTCCATTTTTTCTGATTGGAATTAAAATTAAACATAGTTCAAGAATAATTTCCATTTGCCTGCATGTGGGAAAAAGGTGAATTAATTTTTTACAGCTTTAAGAGTGTATGGAGAGCAATAGGCATTCTGGGCAGAGAGAAGACGCACAAAGGTTTTGGCTCCCTCTGTTTATGAGGATGCAGGGACTCCATTAGACCATGCTGTGATCTGGATGCAAATATTGGACAATTCTTGTATGACAGGGATTTTTCTGAACACAGAGTTTGCAGCAGCAAGTAAGATAGATGTAGTCTGTACCACAGAACTTAAGCTCTAATGAGGGCTTCAGAAAATAAATAATTTCAGAACATGACAAGTTTAATTAAAAAAAAAAAATGCACAGAAGGACAGAGTGTAACCAGGGTGAATGTTTTCAAGTGTTTGGTCAATGGGCACTGTAAGAATCAATGCCGGGGGTAGCTGAACAGCGATGAAGCCAAGAACTTGAGACACAAAAGGCATTTTCCCTGTTTCCAGGACAGCTGGATGTGTTTGGGCCAAATAATTTTGTTCTGATTCATTTGAAGATTCACTGGTCTATAAATACAAGCCTACAATGTGACAATAGGATGTTCCTAACTGCATCAGTACCAGGAAGCATGAATTAGTACAGTGATCCAATAACTTCTTGTACCTTCTCAGTCATTCAAATCTTGATCTCTTAAACAGTTACCACTCAGGCAGATCCAGTTTTCTGGCTTTAAACACCATCGACACAATGATGATTACACATTTTATCTTCAACTACACCTCTCCACTCAGCGTACTCATAGACATCTCAAATTTATTACAACCAAAATTGAGATGCTGATATTATTCTGTTTCCCTAAATCTGTTCTTGTTGGTCTTCCTTCTAAGTAAATGTAAACTCTGTGATTTTGGTAACTCAGGCAAAAACCAACTGGACCTCATTTTGACTTCTTACTTTCTCTAACATCCTATATCCAACCCATTAATCAGTATTTCCATTTAACTATAAAAATATAAACCAGGATCTGACATCTTCACCTTCTCACCAGCTCTACTGCTACCCTTTGGCCATAACTGTGCAGATCACTGCTATAGCCCTACCTGTTCTTAATGCATCCCTCTCTGCCCCTACTGTAGTTTTTTCTTAACACAACAACCAGAATGCCCCTATTGACACGTGGGCTAGCGCTTATTATAACTCCTCTACTCAGAACCTCTTATGAGTTCCCAGCTCACTCTGAGTAAAGCCCAAACTCCTTGCTACACCTACAAAACCTAAGGAAAGTCTTCTTTCCCCTCTGTCCTCATTTCTTTTATAACTTCATCTTCTACTACTTTATGGTATTCACTAGGCTGATCCTGAGGGCTACTTAAACCCACCAGGCAGCCTTTTCATTCAGGGTTTCCTGACATGTGCTCTCCCTAGATATGCCCATGGCCTGTTCCTCATTAACCTTTGGGTCTTTGCTTGGTAATCAACTTTTTCAAAGGCCTTCCTTGACCACGTATCTAAAATTTGTCTCCCTCAATGTTTCATATTCCTCTTATCTGCTTTATTGTTCCCCATTTCATTTCTAACAATCTAATGTAGTTTATGTTTTACTTACTCATTTAGCTTTCAACACATCTACCCCAATAGAGTGAAAGCTCCATGAGAACTAACATATTTTTAACATATTTTTCCCTTTTGGTCACTGTTTTATGCAAAGTTCTTTAAATGGTGCCAGGTATATAATAGCTGCTTAACAAATATTTGTTATATAAATGAATAATTGAATGAATATATGGTTATAGCTAAGGAAAATTTTAATTAAAAGGAAAATGTAATAAATCTGAAAATGTATTCGTTTATATTTGATATTTGCTATCACAAGGGACACAATCTTTTATATATATATATATACATATGCTTCACGTTGCATTTCCAGTATTTCATTCCCTTGGACTCAGGAGCTGGCCTCTACGCAGGTCTCATACGTTACCAAGCATCTTATTATGTGTTTCCATTAATGGAAAGAATATAGCTGGGATTTTATTTTACACAAAGGTCAGAAAATTCAAAGCAATAGTTGCCATACCAACTACAACTCGGCCCCTCAGCTCAAATGAATTTTTGCTATTACTTATATCTGCTCTTAACTTTTATGCCTTAAAATATATAAAGGCAATTTGTCTGCCTTACTATTGCTGTGGGATTTGTCTACAAGTTACGCTTCAGGGCTCACCACAGGACTATGACATAACAGAACACACAGAATTCTTCTCTTTCTTTGGCATTGAACTAATGCACTTCCTTTACTACTGAAGTCCATCCATAAAAGAAATCATTCACTTTTTAAAGTTGTTGCTCCACATTTGACAGGGGAGAAAAATTAAAATACTTTTATACTCCACATCTGCCTCAGTTCTCCCTAAAGCCTGAGTTTTATTAAGGTGCCTTCTCCTGACATATGTGATGCTCTTTTTTTATCCACTTTATGAGACTCCAGGCACAAAGTCTCAACCTTAATCTTGCAATTCATATGGAAATTAGAGCCATACAGATTTGCCTAATCTCCATGAGATTACTTCTTGTCTAGAGCTGTTTTTTAGAAGAAATAATAGAATCAAAGTAGTTAGGATGTCACTTTTTAGGACCTCCATGGAATGAATTATCCATGGCAGCAATATTTCGTAACAGATTTATTTCTGCCATCACTATAGAAAACTAAGTTCCTAAGTACTGCTTTTGAGCCTTTGGGTATTACTATTGTATCAAATTTGGGTGTGTTATGCTTGTAAGATTATACACTAATTAGACTACAAGAGATGACAGGTAATATTCACCAAGATCTCTGGCAGTCAGACAAATAATAGGACCCCAAGAAAAATATTCTGCCATTAAGCAAAACACAAATATTGAGCTCAGCAAACTGGGTCAGCAGATCTACTCGGACAAGATAAAACATGGAAATAATCATTTGTTTTTTAAAAAAATTAATTTTAAATGTCATTGTTTGATAAAGTATGCATTTACATAGTTCTGAAACAAGAAACTATAAAAAAAAAAAGTGTACATGAGAAGTTTCCTTCCAATCTGGTTACCCATCTGCCCAGTTCTGCCATTCCCCAACCAGAGCCTTAGAATAGGGAATCACTGTTCTTACTTTTGTGTATATATAAACTTTCTGTGTTACTTTATGCTTGTACAAGTAACTACGGAAAGTGAATCTGATTGTTACCCTTTGAAATCAAAAGTAAACAAGACAATAAAACTCCAAACAGATTTTAAGCAGAGCTAACATTTGTTTATATTTTCCTTAGGATAATTGATTATGCTCACCAATTGCTTTCTTCCCCTATTCTCCTTTCAAATGGATTATGATATACCAACTTTTTCCTAAATTTCGTCTTAGAGATTATTAACAGCAATTTATTCTATAGCATGAAAGCTGTTTAAGATATTCTTTAATGAAAAACACGTTTACTGATATTTCATTTTTCTAACAATAGAAAAATTAAGAATTATATAGAAAAGTCTATTATGTACTGTGATACAGATTAGTTAAAACATTAAATACAAAAATAAACTTAAAAATTCAATTGCTTATTTTATTTTAGTTTAGGTGTTTAATAAGAAATTACATGATTATCTTAGATTTATAATTTATAATTGGTAATGAGCAGATTTTATATACAAATATAAAATACAGTTAATTATATAAGGATTAGTTTTATCTTACTTATGTAATTATATAAATAGCAAGTTCATGGTAAATTTTAATGTCTCATATATTTTAGTTTTTGTTTTCTTTACAAAGCATTCAAATTCTAGGGCAATAGTAATATATTCTTTTTAGCCTGATCATTTTAAGGGGAATAGGCACTTTGATATATTCCTCTTTCAGTGATAATAATTTAAAATATATACCAACATTGTAATGCAGACTATTTTAGTAGTAGTATGATTGAATGTGAAGGGAGAAAAAATTATCTTATGTCTAGTTCTGCCATTCCTAATAGAGTGTGACTTTGAGCAAGTTGCTTGATCTTCTGTAATTTCTAAAGAGTTTGGCCTGCTCCAAAACTTCAATTCTTCTCTAGGAATTAAATATGAAAGGTAAATGATAGAGAAAAGAAAATCATAACAAAGTTACTAAAACTAAAAAGAGAAAAAATGAAATGAGACAGGTAAGAAAAAATATAACTTACAAGAATAAATATTTACAGTGGGCCTTTCAGACTTAAAGTCCTGGCTTATTTCGTTATTGTTGCTGTTGTGTTGTGTTGTGTTGTGTTGTGTTGTGTTGTGTTGTGTTGTGTTGTGTTTTAGGCTTTTAGCAGCCTAAAGCCATGGTTTCTAGTTTCTGTCTCTAGTGATAAGTGGAAAAGAGGAATGAAGGCAGGGCTTTACTGGCCCAATCAGAAACAGAAACTAAGAACCCATGACTGTATTTTCTCCCTTGGACACCCATGTGTTCCCTCTGTTCACCTACAAAAACAAACAAGAAAATCTCCAGGTTTCCTTTTCAAGATGCTGATGGAGCAATTGGTTGCTACTGGAAGGGTAAAGCAAAGGGAAGAATATGAACATTTACTGCATATATATTACCTCCTGAGCACTGTGCTGGGTTCTTCACACCTGTTAGCTCATTTCAGCATGGAGACATAGTGCTACCTATGAAATTATTACAGTCAGGAAAAGTCTGGGTGCCAGTTCTTTTTCTAACAGTTCAGTTATTACTGCATTGGTTAAATTTGTGTTGACTGGGCCATTGGATGCCAACATATTTGGTCAAACATTATTCTGGGTGTGTTTTTTGAATGAGATTAACATTTAAATGGATAGACCCAGTAAAGCAGACTGCCCTCCCCAGTATGAATGGGCCTCATCCATTCAGTAAAAGCCTGAGTAAAACAAGAAGACTGACCTTCTCCCTAGTAAGGGGGAGCTCTTCCTGCCTAACTGCCTTCAATTTTTTTTTCCTTCACATTCAAATGGAATCATAGGCTCTTCCTGGGTCTCAAGCTTACTAGGCTTCATACTGGAACCACGTTGTTGGCTCTCCTGTTTCTTAGGTCTTCTGACTTGGACTAGAACTAAACCATCCACTCTCTCTGGTATCCAGTTTACAGATTCACTCTGTAGATCTTTAGCTTTGCCAACCTCCATAATATCACATGAGCCATTTTTTAAATTATATATACAATATATAATTTAATATATTATGTATAATATATATTATATATAGAATTATTTCTATATATTATATCTATATTATATATAGATATAATATATATATAGAGAGAGAGAGAGAGAGACAAATCATATTGATTTTGTTTCTCTGGATAACCCTGACTAATATAATTACCATGATTATGTTGCCAGTAATAACAACTTGGTGTTATGGATAAAATGTTAGTGTTCTCTCCAAAACGTATATGTTGAAGCCCTAACCTCCAATATGAAGGTATTTGGATATATGGTTTGGGGGAAGTAATTAGGATTAGATGATGTCATAAAGCTGGGACCCTCATGCTGAGATTAGTACCCTTATAAGAAGACACATCAGAGCATGTGCACACACAGGTTCCCTCTCTTTTTCTCTCTCTCCCCCGCCACACTGCCCAGGCACACAAAAATTCATGTGAGCACACAGCAAGAAGACAGCCATTTACAACAAAGGGGAGAGCCCTGGTTAGGAACTGATGATGCTGACATTCTGATTTCAGAATTCTAGCTTCTAGACTGTGAGAAAGGCACTTCTGTTGTTTAAACAAACCTGTCTATGGTATTGTGTTTTGACAGCCCAAGCCGACTAATATACTTGGATTTGTATAGTGCTCTTTATTTTTAAATATATTCATAATTACACATAAGTGTCTTGAAAATTCTGTGAAATAGATATTTTACTTCATTCTAGCAATTAAAAAACTGAGACATAGAATATCTGGCCATATAGAAACTGAGCTACTGTTCAGGCAATGTAATACCATATCAATGTTTAAAATGGAGTTCACACAAATAATATTTTGAAGAAAATACCTTAGTATTCTGGATTGTACTTTCCTTATATCCACTTAATCTAAGTGTCAATCAAAATAAGCCAAAATTCCATTTATCTTTAGCAGAAGCATAATCTTTCCCACCTTCCTGATTGTGTATATCTGATGTTATTAATGATAAGCAACACTCCATATTCTCTTATCTGTTAGGCTAACAGTTACACAGGGCAAGTTCCAGTCTTTGTAAAGTATCTGAGATGCTGATCACATAATGAATTTCCAGATTATTTGTTATATACACAAAAAACTCATTAACTATAAGTGAGTATAGTAAATCCCAGAAGTCTCCCCAAGTATCTAGTAAAACAAAAGAGCAAGATAGTGAAATATGTTCTCTATTCAAAATCTGAGTGATTAATAAAGACAGAAATGTGTGTTTGTGACATTAAAGATGCAATTTCCTAATCCTGTAAGTTACTTTATTGTTCAATTTAATAGTCTATAGATAATACAATGCCATGGCTTTTAATGGACACAACTGACTAAATTGTCACACTTTTAAAAAGTTATAATTTTAATTTTGTGTTAAGAAAAAAATGACCAACTTCAACATAAAATTTGGCAAAGATCAGAAAAACACAAGACAGAAATTAACCTCTATAATTTCAAACTACAGATAACTACTATTAACATTTTCAGTGCAATATTTCCATTTTATTTATGTATTTATTATATATGTTACACACACACACACACACACACATGCACAAGCAGGTTGCATATAAACCATCATCCCAGTTATCTCCATCCCTCCTCCAGCTTGTGTAAAAACACAGGAGGAGTAGACAGAAAGGGAGTAGACTCATCAAGAGTACGGCATTCCTGTACTACACATGTACAGACATTTTTTTTTCTTGTCATTACTTCCTAAACAATACAATATAACAATGTAAGCACTAGTATTTTTATTTTTATTTCAATAGTTTTGGGGGAACAGGTGGTGTTTGGTTGCATGGATAAGTTCTTTAGTGGTGTACCTATCTCCCAAGGAGTGTACACGGTACCCAATATGTAGTCTTTTATCCCTCACCACTTTCTCCTCCTTCCCCCCGAGTCCCCAGAGTCCATTGTATCACAAGCTTTTGTGTACTCATAGCTTATCTCCCGCTTTTAAGTGAGAACATACGATGTTTGGTTTTCCATTTCTGAGTTACTTCACCTAAAATAATGGTCTACGACTCCATCCAGGCTGCTGTGAATGCCATTATTTCATTCCTTTTTATGGCTGAGTAATATTTCATAGTATATATATACCGCATTTTTTTTATCCACTTGTTGGTTGATGGGCATTTAAGCTGGTTCCATATTTTTGCAATTACGAATTGTGCTGCTTATACACATGCATGTGCATGTCTTTTTCATATAATGATTTCTTTGCCTCTGGGTAGATACGCAGTAGTGGGATTGCTGGATCAAATGGTAGTTCTACTTTTGGTTCTTTAAGGAACCTCCCATAGACACCTAAATCCACTGATGCTCAAGTCCTTTATATAAAATGGAGTAGCATTTGCATATAATCTATGCACATCCTCCCATATACTTTAAATCATCTCTAGATTATTTATAATACCTAGTACAATGTAAATGCTATTTACCCTATACTGTGCATCCTCCTATAGACTTTAAATCATCTCTAGATTACTTATAATACCTAGTGTTTACATTGCCATAGGTATTATAAGTAAACTAGAGATGATTTAAAGTATATGGGAGGATATGGATAGGTTATATGCAAACACTACACCATTTATGTAAGGGACTTGAGCATCAGTGGATTTTGGTATTTGTGGGAGCTTCCTGGAACCAATTCCCCAAGGATACCAAAAGACAAATGTATTTCCCTGGAGCCTGTTTTTTCATGTAGCATGAAAAAATATCCCATTTTTCTGTCCACCATAGAAGTACTATTTCTCCACTTCTCAATTTTAGTATGAAATATCCTATAAAGGCCTTTGTGTGGCTTTGTATAGGTCAAGTGTCTGCCTCAGAACCAATCAAATATGTCCAGAAGTGGTTTGACTGGATGCAGGAGTAGTCCAGAGACAGACAGAGATACAGAAAGAGAGAGAGAGAGATGGAAGGAAGGAGGAGGCTCTAGGAATAGAGTGACATAAATGTGCAATGCATTCTTGCTTGCAGGTTCTTGCTCATGAGTAATTTCTCCACAGCATTTGTCTTTATCTGACCTTTAATGCAGCTAACCAGAGCATCCTCTGAAATTGCTAATTCATTTACTCATAGTTTGAACCCGATGTCCTTTCTAGAGGCTATTTGGAAGTGATAATATGGCATTAGAAACTATAAGTGACAAATCAAAGTCCCATAGTCTAGCAGAAAGAGAAATGGATCAAGTCTAAATATTGATAATCATTTATTATTTTTTATATTTTATCAAGTCTGATTAACATAAAATTAAAGAAAACTATATAGGTTTGAGTTTATTGAGATAGTCAACTGTCTTCATTGATGTTAAAAAATGTAATCACAATGCAATTGTTATAACACATTCTTCATATTGTCTCCTTATGTTCAAGTTTCAATCAAAGATACTACTTGTTAATTTTGCTGCACCTATGCTTCTAAAAAGTTCTTTAATTTCTGAAATCCCGGGGATGAAAAGCTATAGGATACAAAGTAAACATTTGTTGAAATGTCTTCATTAAAGTTAAATTAAACAGAAGAAAGTGTTGATTGCATGCAAGGAAAATCTAAATGAGCTAAGTGTATGAGACTGCGAAATAGACTCCCTAGGGGCAGCCTCTCGATGGTATCCTTCACAATTACCCAAGTATGATTCTTTCAGTCAGAGACTGTAGTTTTGGATTTTTCCCCAACATATTTACTAAGAGTATGTAAATAAAAAATACATTTTCCAAACCTATAAGGCATTATGATTCTGAGCTTCCATTCTAACCTATGAATATATTTCCTAAGCCATGGTGTAAAAATATCTTTGTAACTTGGCTATATGTCACCTCTCGTGTAGCTCCTGCCATGCTAAGCATGTATGCCTAGAAGCAGGACCTAGCTAGAAAATTCTCCCAAAGCAAATGTCCACTGTCTTAAAATTAGACAATGTTCAGAATTCCAGACAAATTACATCACCTTTCTACAGCTCCTTAGAAGGTAAATTTGTTTTCTCTCTTTCCCCAGGAGTAGATTCCTATGAACTTTCTTATTCCTTTAGCAACTGCTTATAGAATCCTTGATCACTGGATTTTCCTCTGACCACAGTTTCTCACAATTTTCTGAACACTTAAGAACGTTTTCCAGACTATAAATATAGATATCTACTGACTCTTAATTTTTTGTCTTAGACTATTTAGACTTTTGGCTCCTATGTTTCTCTATCATTAGGCAATTGAATACCGCTTATTCACTATCTGCCCTTTACCACAACACCTCTGACTCTTTTGTTAATTTCTTGTCTAATTTACTTGCATTTGCTGTAACATTTCATTTACCTTGGTTCCTGGGTTCACACTTGTAGGTTTTTTCATGTTCACCTCCATGATCTCTACCTTGTTATACTCTTTGTTCTAGAATTACATTAATCACATCTTCATGTAGATTATATAATGGGTTGACTGAAAATAAATATATAAGGTAGAGAGATAAAGTAATAACTTTCCTTTGATTGATAATTTATGTGTCTCTGCTTTTGACCTGGTACTGGTATATACTTCAGATTACATGACATGAAGAAACTGTAAGAGGCCCTGAGACTAGGAATACTGCTTTGACAGATTTGTTTGTACGAGTGAAGAAAATTGTTAACAGAAAGCTGGTGACCACGGAAAAAAACCAACAATAATTTCCCTTGGTAATCTCTGATGAATTTTCTGAAAAAATGTAAAAATAGATGACCAAATATTAGCATCTGTAAATACTTTAGGCTGTGGGCTACAGAAAGTTTATTTAACAGAGATATATTTAAGCTGAGCCAAAGGGGAAACTCTAGCAGGGAGCAGAAAATGAGAGTTTCCAAATTTGCACCTAGAAGGTTGTTTTAATATTGCCCTTCTAGACGTAAAAAGAATTAAGAAGAGTTTCTATTTAAGAGAAACTCTTTATAGAATTTTGATTTCTGGGAAGCACACTGTCACATTATCTCATACCTGAGTTAAAACCTAAAACATATAAACAACTAAATTCAAATAATGTGAATAAAGTTCTAGTTATGCAACAACATAAAGCTACCTTTGTCACTAAGATAGCACAATGCCAAAATTTCTGGTTCTACATTTAAAATGAATATATATATATATATATATATGTGTGTATATATATATGTGTGTGTATATATATATATGTGTGTGTGTATATATATGTGTGTATATATATATATATGTGTGTGTGTGTGTGTATATATATATATATATATATATATATATATATATATATATCCTGTCCAGCAAACTTTTTTGCCACTGTTATGAGAGTTTAGGCATTACATTTAGGTTTTGATCCATTTTGAGTTAATTTTTGTATATGATGCCAGGCATAGATTGAAGTTTATTTTTAAGGACCATTTGTTTAAAACATTATCCCTTTCCTGTGAATAGCTTGTGTGCTTTTTAAAAATATCAGTCAAATGCACGCAAGTGAGTCAATTTCTGGAATCTCTATTCTATTCCATTGATGTCCATGCCTAACCTTTCACAAGCTCACCTGGTCTTCAATAATGTAGCTGCATATTTAGTTTTGAAACTGGGTACTATAAGTCATCTGACTTTGTTGTTTTTCTTAAACTGAGTTGGCTAATCTAAATTATTTGCCTTTCTACATGAATATTAGCATTCAGCCATAAAAAAGAATGAAATTCTCTCATTTGCAACAACATGAATGGAACTGGAAGTCATTATGTTGAGTAAAATGAGCCAGGGACAGAAAGACAAACTTCACATGTTCTCACTTATTTCTGGCAGGTAAAAATTAAAACAATTAAACTGAACTCATGGAGAAAGAAAGTAGAACAAGGCTGGAAATACGCTGTAAGGGTAGCTGGGGAGGAGGGGGTGATATGGTTTGGCTTTGTCCTCACCCAAATCTTACCTTGAATTGTAGTTCCCATAATTCCCATGTGTCATGGGAGGAACCCGGTAATTGAATCATGGGGGTAGTTTTCCCCATGCTATTTTTGTGATTGTGAGTACATTCTCACAAGGTCTGATGGTTTTATACGGGGCTTCCACCTTCACTAGGCTCTCATTCTTCTCCTTCCCAGTGCCACGTGAAGAAGGACATGTTTGCCTCCCCTTCTACCATGATTGTAAGTTTTCTGAGGCCTCCCCAGACCTGCAGAATTGTGAGTCAGTTAAACCTTTTCTCTTTATAACTACTTAACAATAAGATCTACCCTCAGCTACTCGGGAGGCTGAGGCAGTAGAATTGTGTGAACCCAGGAGGCGGAGCTTGCAGTGAGCCAAGATCACGCCATTGCACTCCAGCCTGGGCAACAGAGCGAGACTCCGCCTCAAAAAAAAAAAATCTTAAAATATACAACACACTACTGTTATCTACAGGCACTATGCCTTGTAGTAGATCTCTAGGACTTATCCATTTTGTATAACTGAAACTTTATACCCTTTGACTAATACCTCCCCATTTCTGCCCCCTTTTAGATCCTGGCAATCATGATTCTATTTTCTTTTTCAATAAGTTTGACTATTTTAGACCGTGATCTGAGTGGTATCATGTAGTATTTGTCTTTCTGTGTATAGCTTATTTTATTTAGCATAGTGTCCTCCAGGTTCATCCATGTTTTTACAAAGGCAAGGTTCCCTTTTTTTTAAGGCTGAATAATATCTCATTGCACATATATACTACATTTTCTTATCTATTTATCTGTCAACGATCATTTAAGTTGCATCCATGTTTTGTCTACTGTGAATAAGCCTACAATGAACATGGGAATGCAGATATTTCTTTGAGATTATGCTTTCAATTTCTTTGGATATATAAACCCAGAGGTAGGATTGCTGTATCAAACAATAGTTTTATTTTTAGTTTTTTGAGGAAGCTCCATACTATTGTATTTTCTGAAGAGACTACATCAATTTATGTAACTACTAACCATGTACAAAGATTCCCTTTTCTTTACATTCTAACCAGTTTTTATCTTTTGTTATTATAGCCAACAGATGTGAAGTGATATATCATAAAGATTTTTATTTGCATTTCCATAATGATTAGTGATGTTGAGCACCTTTTTCATATACCTGTTGGCCATGCCTTCTTTTAAGCAATGTCTATTTAGATTATTTGCCCATTGTTAAAGTCATGCTATTTTTCCTTGCTATTTAGTGATAGAAGTTTCTTATATATTTTAGATATTAACTCATAATTAGATACATAGTTTGCAAACATTTTCTCCCATTCTGCAGGTTGCCTTTTCATTTTGCTGACTGTATCCTTCACTATGCAGAAGTATTTTAGTTTGTCAAAATGCGAATTGTTTATTTTTGCTTCTGTTGCCTGTGCTCTTAGTATCATAACCAAGAATCATTGCCATTCCAGTGTTTAGAAACTATTTCACTATGATTTGAATTGGATTTCATTGAACCTGTAGCCTGCTTTAGATGACATGGATATTTTTACAATATTAATTCTTCCAATCCATAAATATATCTTTCATTTATTTATTTGTGTCTGCTTTAATTTTGTTTACCACTGTTTTACAGTTTTTAGTGTATCCCTAACTATTTCATTCTTCTTTTTTTTTTTTTTTTTTTTGACACAGGGTCTCACTCTGTCACCCAGGCTATAGTGCAGTGATGCAATCAATCACAGCTTACTGCAGCCTCGACATCTCCAGGCTCAGGTGATCCTCCCTCCTTGTCCTCTCAAGTAGCTGGGACTACAGGTGTGTACCACCACACCCAGCCAGTTTTTGTAGTTTTTCTAGAGACAGGATTTCATCATATTTCCAGACTGGTCTCAAACTCTTGGGCTCAAGCAATTCACCCACCCTAACCCTCCCTATGTGCTGGGAGTACAGGCATGAGCCACCATACCCAGAAAGCATTTCATTTTTGGGGGGTGCTATTATAAATGGGATTACTTTATTAATTTTCTGTTCTGATAATTTGTTATTGCCATCAGCCTTTGTAACTAATTTTGGAATGTTAATTTTGTATCTTGTAATTTTAGTGAATTTCTTTTATAGTTCTTTTTTTTTGGCAGAGTCGTTAGAGTTTTCTACGTATAAAATCATGTTATCTGCAAGCAGAGAACATTTTTCTTCCTGCTTTCTGATTTGGATACCTTTTATTTCTTTATCTTGCCTAATTGTGGTAGTACTTCCAGTACTATGTTGAATTGAAATGGCTAGAGTGGGCATCTTTGGCCTTGTTCTAGATTTTAGGGGGAAAGCTTTCAGTTTTTAACCTTTGCATATAATGTTACATATGGAATTTTCACATATGGCCTTTATTGTGTTTAGATAACTTCTTTTCATATCTAATTCATCAAGGGTGTTTATCATGAAAGAATGTTGAATTTTTTCAAGTGCTACTTTTGCCTTTATTCAAATAATTACATGATTTATAGTCTTCTGTTAATCTGTTGTATCATGTGGATTGATTTGAATATACTGAACCATCCATCTCAGGAATAAATAACACTTTTCTTGTATGATTCTTCTAATGTGCTTTTGAATTTGGTTTGTTAGTATTTTTGTTGAGAAATTTTGCATCCATGTTCATCAGTGGTATTGGTCTATAGGTTTTTCTTTTACATTTTTTTATTTCTTATTTTTTTTTTATTTCTGTGATGGTTAATACTGAGTGTCAACTTGATTGGATTGAAGGATACGAAGTATTGATCCTGGGTGTGTCTGTGAGGGTGTTGCCAAAAGAGATTAACATTTGAGTCAGTGGGCTGGGGAAGACAGATCCCCAGATCCATCGGATTAGATTGTGGGCACAATCTAATTAGCTTCCAGCATATATAAAGCAGGCAGAAACATGTGAAAAAGAGAAACAGGCCTAGCCTCCCAGTCTACATCTTTCTCCCATGCTGGATGCTTCCTGCCCTCAAACATCAGACTCCAAATTCTTCAGTTTTGGGACTCAGACTGGCTCTCCTTGATCCTCAGCTTGCAGATGGCCTATTGTAGGACCTTGTGATTGTGTAAGTTAATACTTAATAAACTCCCATATATATATATATATATACATATATAAGTATATCTCCTATTAGTTCTGTCCCTCTAAGAGAACCCTGACTAATACAGATTTTCGTACCAGGAGTGGTTCTAGAGGAACAGAATATTAAGGATGGAGTTCTTTTGTTGGTTTGGGGGTTTCTGGAGGTGGCTGCTTAATATGATTAGACCCAAAAATGCTAAGGACTCTACTTCTAATAGTATGGAGAACACTGATAGTCCTTGGCATAAACTGTTTAGAGAGTCATGGAAAATAAATGCATTTGACACTCCCGATTCACTGCTTGTGAGAGGTAAGGAGTTCAGTGACTCTATACACAATGTCTTTGACCATATGTGGAGAACCAAGGAACATAATGAAGCTGGTTGGTTGCTCCTAAGTTCAGTGGACAAAGTGATGAAAGAAAATGATGAACTCAGGGATTCTGTCTCCCAGCTTCAGAAGCAGATACTGAGCCTCAAATATGCTAAGACTGCCCTGAGTGAGAGTCTTATCTCCTGTAGAGAAAGAGCTGAAATTGTGGAAAAACAGACACAAGCTCTTATCATGTGAGTGGCTGACCTGCAATGAAAGGTGCATGCACAGCCTTGCCAGGTGTCTACTGTTAAAATGAGAGCATTGATTGGAAAAGAATGGGACCCCGCAACTTGGAATGGGAACATGTGGGAAGGACCCTGATGAAGCTGGGGACGCTGAGTTTGTAAACTCTGATGAACCTTTTTTGCCAGAAGGTACAGCTTCCCCATCCCTGCCAAACTCATGCTGCCATCAGCCTTTCCATCTTTGTCTGAGGAGATAAACCCTGCACTGCCTAAGGCAACAGTGATGGCCTCCCCTGAGGCAGTTGCCAGGCAAGATAATGTTGATTCTCCTCAGAAGCCACCCCCAATACCTCTGTTTGCTTCTAGACCTGTAACTAAAGTCCTGGTGGGCCCCTAGAGGTAAGATTGAGAGTGTGGCCCATGAGGAGTGTGCTACACTCAAATAATTGTTTGAGTTCTCTAATTTATATAAATAGCAACCTGGAGAACAGGCATGGGAATAAATGTTAAGGGCATGGGATAATGGTGGAAGAAACACAGAGTTGGATGAGGCTGAATTTATTGATTTGGGCACACTAAGTAGAGACTCTGCGTTTAATGTTGCAGCTTAGGGAGTTAAAATGGTTCTAATAGTTTATTTGCTTGGTTAGATGAAATATGGATTAAAAGATGGCTCACTGTGAGTGAGCTGGAAATGCCTGATCTCCCTTGGTTTAATGTAGAGGAAGGGATCAAAAGGCTTACGGAGATTGGGATGGTGGAGTGGATTAGTCACTTTAGAACTACTCATCCCAGCTGGGAGGGTCCAGAAGATATACTGTCGATCGATGTCTTGTGAAATAGATTTTTGAGGGCAGCACCTGAATCTTTGAAGAGTCCTGTAATTGCTCTTCTCTGTATGTCAGATCTAATTATGGGAACCACAGTCACTCAACTACAAAACTTAAATACAACTGGAATAATTGGATCCCAACAGGACAGGACCAAGTGTTGGCACTCGACCATCAAAGGCAAGGTGGGCATAGCTACCATAATGGACAGCAGAGGCAAAGCAGCAATCAGAATAGTCTGACTCGCGTAGAGCTTTGGCAGTGGCTAACTAATCACGGTGTTCCTAGAAGTGAAACTGATAGGAATCCTGCTGCATTCCTACTTAATTTATACAAACAAACAGAAATCTTCTAGGTCAAATGGACAAAAGACTAATTAGAATTATAAAAACTGAGAATCATGGCCCCTCCATCAATTTTCAGACTTGGGCCAGTTTACAGACTCAGAACCCCTTGAATGAAGGGGAGGCTGGGTCCCCTTGAGGAAGGACCTCACTACATTACCAACAATTTATGCAGTGAATCCTTCCCCAGGGAGACCCCTGGACTTTTATCAGGGTAACTGTGCAACGAGGAAAGGGAAATGATCAGACATTTGGGGACTACTGGACACAGGCTCTGAGCTGACATTGATTCCAGGGGACCCAAAACGTCATTGTGGTCCTCCAGTTAAAGTAAGGGCTTATGGAGGTCAGGTAATTAATGGAGTTTTGGATCAGGTCCAACTTACAGTGGGTCCAGTGGGTCCTCAAACTCATCCTGTGGTCATTTCTGAGTGCCAGAATGCATAATTGGCATAGACATACTTAGCAGCTGGCATATCCCCCATATTGGCTCCCTGACTGGTAGGAGGAAGGCTATTATGGTGGGAAAGGCCAAATGGAAGACACTAGCGTTGCCTCTACCTAGAAAAATAGTAAATCAAAACCTGTATTGCATCCCTGGAGGGATTGCAGAGATTAGTGCCACCATCAAGGACTTGAAAGACTCAGGGGTGGTGATTCCCACCACATCTCTGTTCAATTCTTCCACTTGACCTGTGCAAAAAACAGATGGATCTTGGGGAATGATGACGGATTATCATAAGCTTAACCAAGTGGAGACTCCAACTGTAGCTGCTGTACAGATATGATTTCATTGTTTGAGAAAATTAACACACCTCCTGGTACCTGGCATGCAGCCATTGACATGGAAATGCCTTTTTCTCCTTTGTCTATAAGGCCCACCAGTAGCAATTTGCCTTTAGCTGGCAAGGCCAGCAATATACCTTTACTGTCCTACCTCAGGGATGTATCAACTCTCTGCCTTTGTGTCATAATCTTATTCAGAGATAACTTGATTGTTTTTCACTTCCACAAGATATCATGCTGGTCCATTACATTGATGACATTATGCTGACTGGATCCAGTGAGCAAGAAGTAGCAAACACACTGGACTTACTGGTGAGACATCTGCATGCCAGATGATGGGAAATAAATCTGTCTAAAATTCAGGGAACTTCTACCTCAGTAAAATTTCTAGGGGTCCAGTGGTGTGGGACCTGTTAAGATATTCCTTCTAAGGTAAAGGATAAGTTGCTGCATTTGGCCCCTCCTACAATCAATAAAGAGGCACAACAACTAGTGGGCCTATTTGGATTTTGGAAGCAACACATTCCTCATTTGGGTGTGTTACTCCAGCTCATTTATCAACTGACCCTGGACCCTGCCAGTTTTGAGTGGGGTCCAGAACAGGAGAAGGCTCTGCAACAGGTCCAGGCTGCTGTGCAAGCTGCTCTGTCACTTGGGCCATATGACCCAGCAGATCCAATGGTGCTTGAGGTGTCAGTGGCAAATAGGGATGCTATTTGGAGCCTTTGGCAGGCTCCCAAAGGTGAATCGCAGCAGAGGTCTCTAGGATTTTGGAGCAAGGCCCGGCCATCTTCTGCAGATAACTACTCTCCCTTTCAGAAACAGTTCTTGGCCTGTTACTGGGCTTTGGTAGAAACTGAACCTTCAACTGTGGGTCATCAAGTCACCATGTGACCTGAACTGCCTGTCATGAACTGGGTGCTTTTTGACCCATCTAGCCATAAAATGGGTCATGCATGGCAGTATTTTATCATCAAATGGAAGTGACATATATGTGATCAGGCTTGAGCAGGTCCTGAAGGCACAAGTAAGTTACATGAAAAAGTGGCTCAAATGCCCATGGTCTCCACTTCTGCAACCCTGCCTTCTCTCTCCTAGCCTGCACAATGGCCGTATTGGGAGTTCCCTATGATCAGTTGACAGAGGAAGAGAAGACTAGGTCCTGATTTATAGATGGTTCTTCACGATATGCAGGCACCACTGAAAGTGGACAGCTGCAGCACTACAGCCCCTTTCAAGGACATCCCTAAAGAACAGCGGTAAAGGGGAATCTTCCCAGTAGGAAGAACTTTGAGCAGAGCATTTTGTTGTGCACTTTGCGTGGAAAAAGAAATGGCCAGATGTGCGATTATATACTGATTTATGGCCTATAGCCAGTGGTTTAGCTTGATTTTAATAATCAAGTAGATAAAATGACCTGTTCTCTGGACACCACTTAGCCTCTTTCTCCAGCCTCCCCTGTCATCACCCAATGAGTCCATGAAAATGTGGCCATGGTGGCAGGGATGGAGGTTACACACAGGCTCAGCAACATGGACTTCCACTCAAGAAGGCTGACCTAGCTATAGAGGGCACTGCTGAGTGCCCAATTTGCCAACAGCAGAGACCAACACTGAGCCCTCAATACGGCATCATTCCTTGGGGTGATCAGCCAGCTACCTGGTGGCAGGTTGATTACACTGGACTTTTTCCATCAGGGAAAGGGCAGAGATTTGTCCTCACTGAAAGAGACACTTACTCATGGGTTTACCTATCCTGCACACAATGCTTCTGCCAAGACTACCATCCATGGATGCACAGAATGCCTTACCCACCCTCATGTTATTCCACACAGCATTGCCTCTGAACAAGACACTCACTTTACAGCTAAAGAAGTGTGGCAATGGGCTCATGGTAATGGAATTCACTGGTCTTACCATGTTCCCCATCATCCTGAAATAGCTAGATTGATAGAATGGTGGAATGGCCTTTTGAAATCACAAGTACAATGCCACCTAGGTGACAATACTTTGCAGGGCTGGGGCAAAGTTCTCCAGAAGGCCGTGTATGCTCTGAACCAGTATCCAATATATGGTACTGTTTCTCCCATAGCCAGGATTCATGGGTCCAGGAATCAAGGGGTAGAAGTGGAAGTGGCACCACTCACCATCACCCCTAGTGATCCACTAGCAAAATGTTTGTTTCCTGTTCCCAAGACATTATGTGCTGCTTGCCTAGAGGTCTTACTTCCAGGGGGAGGAATGCTGCCACCAGGAGACACAACAACGATTCCATTAAACTGGGTGTTAAGATTGCCACCTGAACACTTTGGGCTTCCCCTACCTTAAATCAACAGGCTAAGAAGGGAGTTACAGTGTTGACTGGGGTGACTGACCCAGACAATCAAGATAAAATCAGTTTACTATTACACAACGGAGGTAAGGAAGAGTATGCATGGAATACAGGAGATCCATTAGGGTGTCCCTTAGTATTACCATGTCCTGTGATTAAGGTCAATGGGAAACTACAACAGCCCAATCCAGGCAGGACTACAAATGACCCAGACCCTTCAGGAATGAAGGTTTTGGTCAGTCCACCAGGAAAAAAAAAAAAAAACATGACCTGCTGAGGTGCTTGCTGAAGCCAAAGGAAATACAGAATGGGTAGTAGAAGGTAGTCATCAATACCAGCTATAACCACATGACCAGCTGCAGAAACAAGGACTGTAATTGTCATGAGTATTTCTTCCTTCTTCTGTTAAAAACATGTCTGGGAATGTATACACTTGCACTAAGAAAATGTCTTCATTGTATTTCCTTTCTTCTTTATCACGTGATAAAAGATTTATTGAGATCATATCAGCATTTAAGTATTGTTAACTTTATGTAAGAGTATTTGGGTTGGGGATTGGTGCATTTCTGGTTGTATAAAGGATAGTTGTACTATGTTAGGCATAATTATGATGTCTTTATTTGAAGATTATGGTATGATCTCAGGAGATGTGTATTGGTTCAAGATGACAAGGGGTGGACTTGTGATGGTGAATACTCGGTGTCAACTTGATTGGATTGAAGGACACAAAGTATTGATCCTGGATGTGTCTGTGAGGGTGTTGCCAAAAGAGATTAACATTTAAGAAAGTGGGTTGGTGAAGGCAGATCTACCCTTAATCTCATGGACACAATCTAATCAGCTACCAGCAAATAGAAAGCAGGCAGAAAAACAGGAAAAGGAGAGACAGGCCTAGCCTCCAGTCTACATCTTTCTCCTGTGCTGGTTGCTTCTTGCCCTCGAACATCAGACTCCAAGTTCTTTGTGTGTGTGTGTGTGTGTGTGTGTGTGTGTGTGTGTGTGTGTGTGTGTGTATCTCCTATTAGTTCTGTCCTTCTAAGAGAACCCTGACTAATAGAGTGTCTTTTTCTGGTGTTAGTGTCAGGGTGATGCTGCCCTCACAAGGAGTTAAGAAATAGTCATTCTTCTGTTTTTTGGAAAAATTTGAGGAGGATTTTTATTCATTCCTCTTTAAATGATTGGTAGAACTCACCTGTATAGCCATCTGGTCCTGGGCTTTTCTTTGTTGAGAGATTTCTGATTATTGATTCCATCTCTGTATTTTTACTGGTCTGTTTAGGCTTCTTATGTCTTCCTGATTTAATCTTGATAGGTTGTATGTTTCTAGAAATGTATCTCTTTCTTATAGATTGTCCAGATTGTGGGCTTCAATTCTTTATAATAGTCCCTTATGATCCGTTTTATTTCTATAGCATCTGTTTTAATGTTTTGTCTTTCATTTCAGATTATATATGTTTTTGTCTTCTCTCTTTTTTTTCTAGTCCAGCTAAGGGTTTGTCAACTTACCTTTTTAAAGAACCAACTCTTAGTTTTGTCCATTTCTTCTACTAGTTTTCTATTCTCTATTTCTCTTATTTCTTGCTAAATTTGTTGTATTTCTTTTTCTAGTTCATTGAGGTGTGAAATTAGCTTGTTTATTTGAAGTCCATTTTTAAATACAGGCATTTATTGCTATGAACTCTCTTAGTACTATTTTGCTGCATTCTATAACTTTAGGTATGTTGTGCTTTTATAATTTATCTTGAGATTTTTTATAATTTCCCTTTTGATTTCTTCTTTGACTCAACAGATGTTCAAGAATGTGTAATTTAATTTCCATGTATTTGAGAATTTTTCTATTTTCCTCTTGTTACTGATTTCTAGTTTTATTCCTTTGTTGTCAGAAAAGATACTTGGGATGATTTTATTCAACTTTTGTCACACCTAGCAGACCTACCATGTGTTCTATCTTAAAGAATGTTCTATGTGCACTTGTAAAGAATATGTATTTGTCTTCTATTAAATTGAATGGTTTGTATGTGTTTGTTAGGTCCATCATTTAGTCTACAATGTCAAATTTAATGTTTTCTTATTGATTTTCTGACTGGATGACTGTCAATTATTGTAAATGAGGTATTGAAGTCTTTAACTATTATTGAATTGCTGTCCATTTCTCCCTTCAGATCTGTCAGTGTTTGCTTAGTATATTTGGTTCTCTGATGTTAGATGAATATACATTTTTATTGTTACATCTTTGTGTGAAATTTATTCTTTATCATTAGGTATTCACCTTATGTCTCTTATGGTAGTGTTTGACTTCAAGTCTATTTTGTCTGATATGGATATAGACACCTCTACTCTTTAGCATTTGCATGGAATATCTTTTTCATCCCTTTACTTTAGCCATGTGTGTGCTTAAAGCTAATGTGGGTCTCTTGTAGACAGCATGTAGTTGGATCCCTATTTTTCATCCATTCAGTCACTCCATGTTTTGATTCGGCCATTTAATACATTTATTTTTAAAGTAATTATTGTCAGGTAAGTTCTTACTGCTTCATTTTGTTGCTTTCTGTGTGTTTTGTAGTTCCTTTTTCATTTCTGCCTTTCTTACTGTCTTATGATTTGATGATTTTTGTAGTAATATATTTTGATTATTTTTATATTCTCATTGCCATTTTCAGTTTTTTTGTGACTGCCTATAGACATGCACAAAACTTCTTGTTATAAAAGTATAGTTTGAGCTGGTAACAACTTTAATGGCATACAAAAACTGTATACTTCTATCATTTTGAGTTTTTTGTCAAGAAGTTCATAGATTTCTAATTTTTAGGGTTCATTACTAGAAGTTTCTTTTATCCCTTGAGTGGTGTCATGTTTCTGATTCTTCATTATTTTTGTAGCTTTGATGTGTGTATATTTGAAAAAGTAGTCACCTTTTCCATTCTTTACTGACTGGCTTTGTCAGCCAAAGACCCTCATCAGTCAGCACAGCCACAGATTCTGGGTAGGCTGAGTGGCAGGGTACAAGGGCAGGCCTGCTGCTGGGGTCCATGAATGTGAATGCCTGGCATTGGTTCCTTTTGGGTTCCCTGAAACATGAGTCCATGGAGGTGGTCCTGGAGCTTGGATCTGCAGGGGTGGGCCTGGTGCCAGGATCCCCTGGGGTAAGTCTGGCACATGGGAATGGGCCTGGCACTTCAATTCACTAGGTTGGGCCTGGGACCAGTGTCCATGACAAGATAAAATGCTCACTTCACTCTCTTTCCCCCATGGGAGAATTCCTAGGATGAAGGGATCTTTGTTGATACTGCACAGTTATCTGAGTTCATTTTCTGTTGCTCATGACAGAATATCTGAAACTGGGTGATTTATAAATGAATAACATTTACTTCTTAAAATTATGAAGACTGGAAAATCCAAGGTCAAGGGACCATATCTATTGACGGCCTTCCTGCTGGCAGGTACTCTTTGCAGAGTCCCAAGGTGATACAGGGAATCATATGGCTAGGGAGCTGAGTGTGCTATCTCAGGTTTCACTTCCTCTTCTTCTAATGTCATCAGTTCTATCCCCATAGCAACCCATTAATTCATTAATCTATGAATGAATCCATTCATGGGGGCAGAGTCCTTTGACCCAATAACATCTTTAAGGCTCCACCACTTAATACTGTCACATTGGGGATTAAATTTCAACATGAGCTTTAGAAGGGGCACCACACCACACCTATTCCAAAATTGACCACATAGTTGGAAGTAAAGCTCTCCTCAGCAAATGTAAAAGAACAGAAATTATAACAAACTCTCTCTCAGACCACAGTGCAATCAAACTAGAATTCACGATTAAGAAACTCACTCAAAACCACTCAACTACATGGAAACTGAACAACGTGCTCCTGAATGACTACTGGGTACATAACGAAATGAAGGCAGAAATAAAGATGTTCCTTGAAACCAATGAGAACAAAGACACAAAATACCAGAATCTCTGGGATACATTTAAAGCAGTGTGTAGAGGGAAATTTATAGCACTAAATGCCCACAAGAGAAAGCAGGAAAGATCTAAAATTGACACCCTAACATCACAATTAAAAGAACCAGAAAAGCAAGAGCAAACACATTCAAAAGCTAGCAGAAGGCAAGAAATAACTAAGATCAGAGCAGAACTGAAGGAAATAGAGACACAAAAAACTCTTCAAAAAATTAATGAATCCAGGAGATGGTTTTTTGAAAGATCAACAAAATTGATAGACCGCTACCAAGACTAATAAAGAAGAAAAGAGAGAAGAATCAAATAGACGCAATAAAAAATGATAAAGGGGATATCACCACCAATCCCACAGAAATACAAACTACCATCAGAGAATACTAGAAACACCTCTATGCAAATAAACTAGAAAACATAGAAGATATGGATAAATTCCTCAACACATACATCCTCCCAAGACTAAACAAGGAAGAAGTTGAATCTCTGAATAGACCAATAACAGGCTCTGAAATTGAGGCAATAACCAATAGCTTACCAATGAAAAAAAGGCCAGGACCAGATGGATTCACAGCCAAATTCTACCGGAGGTACAAGGAGGAGCTGGTACCATTCCTTCTGAAACTATTCCAATCAATAGAAAAAGAGGGAATCCTCCCTAACTCATTTTATGAGGCCAGCATCATCCTGATACCAAAGACTGGCAGAGACACAACAAAAAAAGAGAATTTTAGACCAATATCCTTGATGAACATTGATGCAAAAATCCTCAATAAAACACTGGCAAACCAAATCCAGCAGCACATCAAAAAGCTTATCCACCATGATCAAGTGGGCTTCATCCCTGGGATGCAAGGCTGGTTCGACATACGAAAATCAATAAATGTAATCCAGCATATAAACAGAACCAAAGACAAAAACCACATGATTATCTCAATAGATGCAGAAAAGGCCTTTGACAAAATTCAACAATCCTTCATGCTAACAACTCTCAATAAATTAGGTATTGATGGGACGTATCTCAAAATAATAAGAGCTATCGATGACAAACCCACAGCCAATATCATACTCAATGGACGAAAACTGGAAGCATTCCCTTTGAAAACTGGCACAAGACAGGGATGCCCTCTCTCATCACTCCTATTCAACATAGTGTTGGAAGTTCTGGCCAGGGCAATCAGGCAGGAGAAGGAAATAAAGGGTATTCAATTAGGAAAAGAGGAAGTCAAATTGTCCCTGTTTGCAGATGACATGATTGTATATCTAGAAAACCCCATCGTCTCAGCCCAAAATCTCCTTAAGCTGATAAGCAACTTCAGCAATGTCTCAGGATACAAAATCAATGTACAAAAATCACAAGCATTCTTATACACCAATAATAGACAAACAGAGAGCCAAATCATGAGTGAAGTCCCATTCACAATTGCTTCAAAGAGAATAAAATACCTAGGAATCCAACTTACAAGGGATGTGAAGGACCTCTTCAAGGAGAACTACAAACCACTGCTCAATGAAATAAAAGAGGACACAAACAAATGGAAGAACATTCCATGCTCATGGGTAGGAAGAATCAATATCATGAAAATGGCCATACTGCCCAAGGTAATTTACAGATTCAATGCCATCCCCATCAAGCTACCAATGACTTTCTTCACAGAATTGGAAAAAACTACTTTAAAGTTCATATGGAACCAAAAAAGAGACCGCATCACCAAATCAATCCTAAGCCAAAAGAACAAAGCTGGAGGCATCATGCTACCTGACTTCAAACTATACTACAAGGCTACAGTAACCAAAACAGCATGGTACTGGTACCAAAACACAGATATAGACCAATGGAACAGAAAAGAGCCCTCAGAAATAATGCCACATATCTACAACTATCTGATCTTTGACAAACCTGAGAAAAACAAGAAATGGGGAAAGGATTCCCTATTTAATAAATGGTGCTGGGAAAACTGGCTAGCTGTATGTAGAAAGCTGAAACTGGATTCCTTCCTTACACCTTATACAAAAATTAATTCAAGATGGATTAAAGACTTACATGTTCAACCTAAAACCATAAAAACCCTAGAAGAAAACCTAGGCATTACCATTCAGGGCATAGGCATGGGCAAGGACTTCGTGTCTAAAACACCAAAAGCAATGGCAACAAAAGCCAAAATTGACGAATGGGATCTAATTAAACTAAAGAGCTTCTGCACAGCAAAAGAAACTACCATCAGAGTGAACAGGCAACCTACAGAACGGGAGAAAATTTTTGCAACCTACTCATCTGACAAAGGGCTAATATCCAGAATCTACAATGAACTCAAACACATTTACAAGAAAAAAACAAACAACCCCATCAAAAACTGGGCAAAGGACATGAACAGACACTTCTCAAAAGAAGAATTTATGCAGCCAAAAAACACATGAAAAAATGCTCATCATCACTGGCCATCAGAGAAATGCAAATCAAAACCACAATGAGATACCATCTCACACCAGTTAGAATGGTGATCATTAAAAAGTCAGGAAACAACAGGTGCTGGAGAGGATGTGGAGAAATAGGAATACTTTTACACTGTTGGTGGGACTGTAAACTAGTTCAACCATGTGGAAGACAGTGTGGCGATTCCTCAGGGATCTAGAACTAGAAATACCATTTGACCCAGCCATCCCATTACTGGGTATATACCCAAAGGATTATAAATCATGCTGCTATAAAGACACATGCACACATATGTTTATTGTGGCACTATTCACAATAGCAAAGACTTGGAACCAACACAACTGTCCAACAACGATAGACTGGATTAAGAAAACGTGGCACATATACACCATAGAATACTATGCAGTCATAAGAAATGATGAGTTCATGTCCTTTGTAGGGACATGGATGAAAGTGGAAACCATCATTCTCAGCAAACTATTGCAAGGACAAAAAACCAAACACCCCATGTTCTCACTCATAGGTGGGAATTGAACAATGAGAACACATGGACACAGGAAGGGGAACGTCACACACCGGGGACTGTTGTGGGGTGGGGGGAGGGGGGAGGGATAGCATTAGGAGATATACCTAATGCTAAATGACAAGTTCATAGGTGCAGCACACCAGCATGGCACATGTATACATATGTAACAAACCCACATGCTGTGCACATGTACCCTAAAACTTAAAGTATAATAATAAAATTTAAAAAAAAAAGAAGGGACAAATATTCAAACCATAGCAAGGGTTT
The DNA here is from genome assembly GCF_000001405.40 of Homo sapiens. Lineage (NCBI taxonomy): Eukaryota > Metazoa > Chordata > Mammalia > Primates > Hominidae > Homo > Homo sapiens. The sequence continues at coordinate 104,091,627 of NC_000006.12, forward strand.
TGGGAAGGAGGGATTGAGTAAAGTGAAACTGTCTTTCCTAGCCTCTTTAGTATGTCTTTTATCTCTATGCTCCACCTGGATTTTATAATCTGTCACCTGGATTCTGGAGCACTCATGAAGATACTGTGATTCATGGATGGTTGTCAAATTTGTTTTCTCTAGGGGAACAAGGCTATAACTTCCTGTTCTACCATCTGCTGATGTCACACTCCTAAATGGTACTGTTTTACAATTGATTTTTATATATTAATTTTGTGTTCTAAGATGTTGTAAACATATTATTCTAAGGAACTTTTTTGTAAATTCTTAAGGACTTGCTTTGTGATCAATTATGATGTCTACGAATAGAATTTGTTTTATTTCTTTCTTTTCAATCTCTATATACTTAGATTTTTTGCCTTGTCTTATTACATAACATATTCAATACAATAAATAGGCTTGGTAATAGTAGATATCCCTGCCTTGTCTCTAATCTTAAGACAATGTTGTTCAGTCTTCCACTGTTAAGTATGATGTTAATTATAGGCTTTTTGTAAATATACTATGTCAAATCGGGGAATTTCTCTTCTCTTCCTAATTTGATGAAGGTTTTTATGATAAATTAATGTTTATTGTTTTCACATGCTTTCTCTGCTTCTATTTAGATTATAAGTGATAATATATTAAGGATTAAAATAGAGTCAGTGTGGCTGAAACATAATGTACAGATTTAGAAAATAAACCTTGATCAGCCAACTCAATCCTAAGGCAAAAGAACAAAGCTGGAGGCATCACACTACCTGACTTCAAACTATACTACAAGGCTACAGTAACCAAAACAGCATGGTACTTGTACCAAAACACAGATATAGATCAATGGAACAGAACAGAGCCCTCAGAAATAACGCCACATATCTACAACTATCTGATCTTTGACAAACCTGAGAAAAACAAGCAATGGGGAAAGGATTCCCTATTTAATAAATGGTGCTGGGAAAACTGGCTAGCCATATGGAGAAAGCTGAAACTGGATCCCTTCATTGCACCTTATACAAAAATTAATTCAAGATGGATTAAAGACTTAAACGTTAGACCTAAAACCATAAAAACCCTAGAAGAAAACCTAGGCATTACCAGTCAGGACATACGTATGGGCAAGGACTTCATGTCTAAAACACCAAAAGCAATGGCAACAAAAGCCAAAATTGACAAATGGGATCTAATTAAAGAGCTTCTGCACAGCAAAAGAAACTACCATCAGAGTGAACAGGCAACCTACAAAATGGGAGAAAATTTTTGCAACCTACTCATCTGACAAAGGGCTAATATCCAGAATCTACAATGAACTCAAACACACTTACAAGAAAAAAACAAACAACCCCATCAAAAACTGGGCAAAGGATATGAACAGACACTTCTCAAAAGAAGAATTTATGCAGCCAAAAAACACATGAAAAAATGCTCATCATCACTGGCCATCAGAGAAATGCAAATCAAAACCACAATGAGATGCCATCTCACACCAGTTAGAATGGCAATCATTAAAAAGTCAGGAAACAACAGGTGCTGGAGAGGATGTGGAGAAATAGGAACACTTTTACACTGTTGCTGGGACTGTAAACTAGTTCAACCATTGTGGAAGTCAGTGTGGCGATTCCTCAGGGATCTAGAACTAGAAATACCATTTGACCCAGCCATCCCATTACTGGGTATATACCCAAAGGATTATAAATCATGCTGCTATAAAGACACATGCACACGTATGTTTATTGTGGCACTATTCACAATAGCAAAGACTTGGAACCAACACAAATGTCCAACAATGATAGACTGGATTAAGAAAATGTGGCACATATACACCATGGAATACTATGCAGCCATAAAAAAGGATGAGTTCATGTCCTTTGTAGGGACATGGATGAAATTGGAAATCATCATTCTTAGTAAACTATCGCAAGGACAAAAAACCAAACACTGCATGTTCTCACTCATAGATGGGAATTGAACAATGAGAACACATGGACACAGGAAGGGGAACATCACACTCTGGGGACTGTTGTGGGGTGGGGCGGGGGGAGGGATAGCATTAGGAGATATACCTAATGCTAAATGACAAGTTAAAGGGTGCAGCACACCAGCATGGCACATGTATACATATGTAACTAACCTGCACATTGTGCACATGTACCCTAAAACTTAAAGTATAATAATAATAAAAAAAATGCAAAAAAAAAGAAAATAAACCTTGGTCATTGGTAGTTCTCTTTGATTGCTGCCCTTTTTTCTTCTCTCTTTCTCAGGACTTCCAAATGTTTTCTTCAAGACAATGGCAATGAAACGAGATATTCAAAATCCCTATTAGCAAAACTAATTCAAAAATTATTTAGTGCCATTGCAATAATTATTTATTCAGCATGTGGTTTTAAGTAGATGCTATGCTCTACGCACTGAGATTTTTTTGAAAAACCAACAGCATACATTACATGATCCCTGCCCTTTAGAAGCTAATGGCTTAGTTGGAAAGGCTTACTAGAAATGGTTCAATTTCAGTAGACTGTGTCAAACACCAAGGTAGGAGTACATAAAAGAGTGTTAGAAGACATAGAAGAGACAACTAATTAAGGGTTAAGGGGTCGAAGATGGCTTCATGAAAAGAGTGGGAGGTATTAATAGAAGACTACTATTTACTTATGCTATTTGTGTAAACTTATTTGAATGTTCATAAAGGTCATTGAGCTTCATCACGAAATTTTGATAAGTTAATGTAGGTTTAAGTTTTAGAAAAATAATTACTACTATTATTACTATTGATTACTTTCATGTCTTTAAATTTTTAAATAAGATTTTTCTTATTGTAAAAGCGATATAAATTCACTGTAGAATTTTGAACACTCAAAAATAATAAACACAATAAAATGACATTCTTAACTTTAATCCTTAAATGTAACTAATCTGAATATTTACTATACGCTTTTTATCCATTAATACATATATAGATTAATGTGGTGATATAGTGATTCTTACTTGCTTATATATCTATTGCATGTACAATAATAACTATTTTCCAGTATCATATTAATGTGCTGTAAAATGCAAGTTTGATGATTGTAGAATATCCAGTAGATGAATATACCACAATTTGTTTCACCAGGCCCCAGTTATGGGGCACTTAAGTTCTTTCCATTTGTAAATGTATAAATAGCATGGTGATTTGCATTTTTGAAATTAAATCTTCACATGCATTTTTAATTTTTTTCAGGGTAATTGTTAAAGTTTATTGATTTAGTAAAAAGTAATAATATTATAGAAATTTTGCTTGTCAAATTTCCCTCCAGAGAAAACCATACTGAGGTATCTTTCTCCCAGTAGCTATGTCAAAAATTAACATTTTTTATTTCAGCAGCACACCTTCATTGACATTGTTTATTACAAATTGTTTTAATTGCCAGAATTTTTGTTTAAAAGGACATTCTATTGTTTAAACTTGCATTGTTCTGATTATTAGAGTTTTCTGGAGTTTGGCCAGCAAAATTAAAATGTATAGTAATAAAGTAATGCTACTGAGTTTAACCTGTTACTTCTGGAAATTTTTCCCATAACATTATAGCCATACTATTTTCATAAACATCGTGTAACTATTAAAACCTGTTCTTAATTGTAATGTTTTTATGTTCACACATTGGATACAGAATAATAATATTTTTTATTTAAAACAATCTTAAATTTTTCAACCACTAGAAATATGAAAGGCATTGTATTTCTGAAAATACAGTTTTCCCAAGTAATAAAAAATTATTTTCAATGGACATATCTTAAATCGTACTTGAAACTCTACAAGCGGGGGTGGAGCCAAGATGGCCGAATAGGAACAGCTCCAGTCTACAGCCCCCAGCGTGAGTGACGCAGAAGACGGGTGATTTCTGCATTTCCCCAAAAAAAAAAAAAAAAAAAAAAAAAAAAAAAAAAAAAACTCTACAAGCGCATAATACATTTCTAAATACTGGTATATACTGGGAGTAATATAATACCTTTTAAAACATACCACATATAGCACTACAGAGTTAGTTCTGCTATAATTACTCCTGCCTTCCTACACTGAGTATTACAAAAAAGCTTCACTGGCTACGGCAGTGGCTTGATATATTGTTAGTAACATATTCTGACACAGCTCAAAATGTGGATCATTAGGCATAATTTTATAGAAAGCATCGAAATAGGCTTGCAATGATATCAGAAAGGAAAACAAAACCGCGATTCTGCCCAACCGCGGTACTGCACTGTTACAGAGCAATTTCTCCTTGGATTGCACACCTGCTTTCTGGCCCATTAAGTCCTGCTGTCTTTACAAGGAATTGAGGTTGTAATGTCTTTCCCCAATGCATATTTTTATGGGACCATGCATAACAAGTACACATAAAGTACATATGAATGAACATGCTGCCAACCTCATTTTTAATATGTCTGATCTGACTAGAAAAGAAAAACACTTACCTTAGAAAATAAATCTCTTAATTGCTTAAAGCTCTGTAACAGTTATTTCCTGACATATATTGCAAGAATTCCCTGTAGCTGTGTGGAATCATTATTCTGTTCACTTATATATATATACATTCCTAGAAACATGATCTGATATCATTTTTCATAAAGAAGCAGTATTTAGGAATAATGTGCACATCAGATCTATTTTTGTGCACATCAAAATTCCACTGTGCCAAGCTCCTGCAGTCACCTGTCATTAAAGTAATTCCAGTAAGCTGTATCTCCCCTTTCTCTGCTGTGCACAGACCACTTCTCAACATATTTTCATGGTTTGCAGAATATATCAAGAGTTAGCTAAGAAATAATTTCAACAGTAGAGTTCCACTGGGAATGTCAATAAGCTAAGGGCATTTTGGCCACACTATCTGCATTTCTGAGTTTTATTTTAAGATTAAATAAGTTTGAGACAGAAGAAGCACTGATCTGTACCTGATGGAACAATGGTCTTTCATCAGAGACATATGTACATTGAAAAGGTGAGGTGGTAGTTGCAATGAAATTAATGTAGTTGGGTTCTAGAGTTCTTTGAAATTTAATCTAATCAAGAACCCAAATCTGCAATTTTCGAGACCTTTAAATTTTTTGATACGAAGTTTTAAAAGTTAGTGTTATCATACTACTTTTATTATAAATACATATGTCGATTTTTTTTTTTACTATCTTGACTTATTAAGTCAGCTAAAATTAAAAGTCAAGTAAAATTGTCCTGGCTGGCTAATTAAGGTGAAAATGGTCAACCCATCTTTCCCATGAAAATATAATAATTATTTATACTGACATTTGAAAATATTAAGTGACATATATAAAATTATTTTTCTCTCAGTATTTAGAAAATATTGCAAAGGGATAAGTGTATATCAGAAGCCTATGTTTCAGTTATTAGGAGAAAATGATATCTAATAAAAGGGAATAAATGGCAAATCCAATTTCTGATTTAACTTTGAACAGAACAACTTTTATATATGATTTTGAATTTTTGTTTAATAATATGAATTTCAAAGAAATAATCAGAGATATCTTGGGAAATACAGGTGTCATGTTGACCAGAAAATAATCTGAATGTCATTTTTAAAGTCTTATGTATTTTACTCAGTTTATCCCTTTTCTCGTGTTTTCTATCAATATATTCTCTCCAGATTTTGTGGACTTGCAATTGTTATTATGAGGTGGCAAGGGGGAAAAATGCAAGCTCTTTTCAAGGACAGAGTCAAGGTACCAAAGGGAAAATCAACCAGAGAAAGAATAACCATCTGTTCTGTTTCCTACCAAAATGTAAAAACATGTTACTTCACATCAAAGGAAGCATTAAAAATTATTCTTAGAAAAACTAATACGTCCAACTTCAATAAATACCTATAATATTATTTAATTTACGTTATTTCAGTATAGCAGTAGACTTAATTAAATATAGTAAGTTCTTCACATCTCTTCATTGCAATGAACATGTGTAAAGACATTTAGGTCAAGTTTTGAGTGAGAAGAAAATAAATTATCTGTGTAGCTCAACCAAAGTGAAGTAACAAAAACAGTCAATGTCTAAGGCTTTTATCACATAATCCTAGTGAGTTTTTAAGTTATATAATACCTTGATGAGCATGCTGACTCAGAAAGAATTTTCAAATTGTATCAAGAATGTTTTGTGACATAACTGGGTAGAGTATCTGCCTGTGCATACTATCAAGATTTTGTCCTGTGTGACAGAATCAAATTTTCTAAAATGTATTTGGTTAAGTGTTGTTTCTAAACGATAAAAATGGAAAGTAAAATTCTAACCATTTAGTTAATTTCCTGATTCAACTGACATCAAAATACCTTTTTTTTCTTTTTTTGAGATGGAGTCCCACTCTGGCACCCAGTATAGAGTGCAGTGGCACGATCTCGGCTCACTGCAACCTCCGCCTCCCAGGTTCAAGCGATTTTTCTGCCTCAGCCTCCCGAGTAGCTGGGACTACAGGCCCACGCCACCACGCCCAGCTAATTTTCACATTTTTAGTAGAGATGGGGTTTCACCATATTGGCCAGGCTGGTCTTGAACTCCTCACCTTGTGATCTGCCCACCTCGGCTTCCCAAAGTGCTGGGATTACAGGCGTGAGCCACCGTGCCTGGCCCAAAACACTTTTTTAACTGAATCTATCAAATATATTGTTTTTGCAGGCCAATGATTCCCAATCGTAATGTAATGTTTACAGATGCCCATCTAAATTTCTCAAATAATTGATTTTATTGTATTTAAAATATAATACATACTACTTTTGCAGGGAATAGGAGACTGAAATTATTCAAATGTTTTTTGGGTGCCAAAAACTGTATATTTATCTTATTTATATTTTCACAATCCTATTAAATATTATTATTCCACACATTTTCTTAGATAAGGCACTTCAGAGATGTTAGATAATTTATCCAATATTCCACAGCTCTGATTTGAACCCATGTTGACTCCCACACCTGTGTTGCTAGTGGAGAATAAAGGCTATGAGCGATATCGTATCATATTGTAAAGATGTAAAAATGGCTCTTAATCTGGGTTACAGAAAAACTTTGATCACTTCAGGAATAATTTTGCTATCTGGGTTGTTGTTTTTTGTTTGTTTGTTTGTTTTTTCCTAATGTTAAATATATTCATTGAATAAACAAAGCAAGTAGCCTTTCATCACTGGCTGATATTCACTCACATTCCCATTTCACTAAAAGAATTCAAGTTTCTGGTCCAGGAAGCAGTGCAGAATTAAAGGCTTGGGCTTGGGAGTTAGCAGGCTTGGACTCCAAACCTAGCTCTAAGGTTTACCAGTTGTGTTAAGACAGCTTGCTTTTAACTTCTCTCAGTTTCAATTTATTCATCTATAAGAAAGAATAATAATCAGATGTATAAAATGTATGTAAAAACAAGAAGAAATAGATAGATGTTACTTCTGGTCAAGAATAAATTCAATTTTGTATCTCTAAACAGAGTCACAAAAGTTTAAACTCATATGGAAGAGATCTCTATATAGTTTTATCTCTTTTTATTGTATACAATAATTTCTAATGTGATTAAAAAGAATAAAACAAAGGAACACTGGGCAAAACAATGAAAGTGTTTTCTAATGTGATATTCATGATTTATCATTGTATGCTGTAAGCTTGCAAGAAAAATTTTTTAAAAATCACTATTAATTAGGAAGATACTATTTAAAACACAATAGAAACGTCCAGAAAATCTGATTTTTTTTTTTTTTTATCCAGAGTACCCCAATGGCTTGACCATTCTTCGTGGAATGGTCAACAATGGAAAACAACAATGGAGCTAAAATTGTCTTGTGGCAAATGCAGTGATTGTGATTTGTCACAATTCCATGTGGCTCTGAAATATTAAGGTTATGAGAAAACCAAGTCCTGAGTATCACAAACTCTGTTATACATAGTCAAATACAACTTTAACCAATTCTGTCACAGTTGATGTAATAAAAATATATATTTGCACATTCATTATGTTTATACTTAACATTTCTCAGAGGAATGCTTATTTCACTTCATCTTTATAATATTAATTATTGAAGTAGTTTTAATCAAATGTCTTGTTAAAAATAAATGAAAGTAATAAAAGAAGAACTAAATAAATAAATGTTCATGAATAAAAATACTGAATATTCTCGAGATGTTAGTTCTTCCTAACTTTATCTATCAATTCAATGTGATCTCAGTCAAAATCCTAGCAAGTTATTTTGTGGATATTAATAATCTGATTTTAAAATTCACAGAAGAAGCAAAAGACCCAGAATAGCCAACACAATATTGAAGAAGAACAAAGTCAGAGGACTGACACTAACAGACTTCAAGACTATAAAGCTACAGTGTGGTATTGGTGAAAGAAGGAATTGGTCAGTGGAAAACAGAAAGCCCAGAAATAGATCCACATAAATATAGTTAACTGATCTTTGAAAAAGAAGCAAAAGCAATCTAATGGAGAAAATATAGTCTTTTCAATAATAGAGTTGGAACTGTATATCCACATGCAAAACAATAAATCTAGACATAGACCTTATACCTTTCATAAAAATTAACTCACAATGGATCCAGACCTAAATTTAAAATGTAAAACTAGGCTGGACATGGTGGCTCATGCCTGTAATCCCAGAACTTTGGGAGGCCAAGGCAGGTGGATCACCTGAGGTCAGGAGTTTGAGACCAGCTTGACCAACATGCTGAAAATACAAAAATACTAAAATACAAAAAAAAAAAATAGTTTGGCCTGGTGGCACACACCTGTAATCCCAGCTACTCGATGCTGAGGCAGAAGAATCACTTGAACCCAGGAGGCAGAACTTGCAGTGAGCTGAGATCGCGCCACTGCACTCCAGCCTGGGCAACAGAGTGAGACGCCGTCTCGGAAAAAAAAAAATGCAAAACTATAATTCCTAGAAAGTAACATAGGAGAAAATAGAGATAATTTGGGACATGGCAATGACTTTTAGGACCAAAGGCATGATCTATGAAATAAATAATTGATACTCTGGACTTCATTAAAATTAAAAACTTGTATTCTGTAAAAGACACTGGCAAAGGAATAAGAAGAAAAGCCACAGATGGGAAGAAAATATTTATAAAAGACACATCAGGTTAAGGACTTTTATTCAAAATATACAAAGAACAATTAAAGCTCAACAATAAGTAAATAAATAGTCCAATTAAAAATTAGCCCAAAAGGCTTGAATAGATACCTCACCAAAGAAGATAAATGAATAATCAATAAGCATATGAAAAGTTGCTAAACATCTATGACAGTAGTGAAATGCAAATTAAGACAATGATATCTACTACATGCCTGTTAGAATTACCAAAATCCAGAACACCGACAATACCAAATGCTGGAAAGGGTGTACAGCAACAGAAATTCTTATTCATTGCTGGTGGGAATGCAAAATAGTACAGAAACTTTGGAACACAGTTTGACAATTTCTTAGAAAACTAAACATATTCTTTATATATGATCCAGCAATCACATTCCTTACTATTTACCCAAATAGGTTGAAAACTTACATTCACACAAAAACCTGTGCATGAATGTTTGTAGCATCCTTATTCATAGGCACCAAAACTTGGAAGCAAACAAGACATCCTTCAGTCAGCAGGGGAATGGTTAAATAAAGTATGATATATCCAGAGAACAGGATATTATTCAGTGCTAAAAAGAAATTAGCTATCAAGTCATAAAAAAATGGGGAAATCTTCAATGCATATTACTAAGTGAAAGAAGCCAATCTGAAGACTACATAGTATAGGATTTCACCTGTATGACATTCTGGAAAAGGAAAATCCTAGAAGAATATCAAGGCAATACCCTTCAGGACAAAGGCATGGGCAAAGATTTTATGTTGAAATCGCCAAAAGCAATTGCAACAAAAGCAAAAATTGACAAATGGGATCTAATTAAACTAAAAAGCTTCCGCACAGCAAAAGAAACTATCATCAGAGCAAACAGACAACCTACAGAATGGGAGAATATTTTTGCAATCAATCCACCTGACAAAGATCTAACATCCAGAATCTACAAGGAACTTAAGCAAATTTACAAGAAAACTAAACCCATTAAAAAGTGGGCAAAGGACATAAATAGACACTTCTCAAAAGAAGAGATACATGCAGCCAAGCAACATATGAAAAAAAGCTCAACATCACTGATCATTAGAGAAATGCGAAATATGGTACCTTGGCGAGATACCGTCTCATGCCAGACAAAATGGTGATTATTAAAGTCAAGAAATAACAGATGCTGGTGAGGTTGTGGAGAAACAGGAACACTTTTACACTATTGACGAGAATGTAAATTAGCTCAATCATTGTGGAAGACAGTTTGGCAATTCCTCAAAGATTTAGAACCAGAAATATCATTTGACTCAGCAATCATATTACTGTGTATATACCCAAAGGAATATAAATCATTCCATTAAAAAGGTACATGCACATGTATGTTTGTTGCAGCACTATTCAAAATAGCAAAGACATGAAATCAACCCAAATGCCCAACAATGATAGACTGGATAAAGAAAATGTGGTACATATGCACCATGGGATACTATGCAGCTGTAAAAAGGAAGGAGATAACGTACTTTGCAGGAACATGGATGAAGCCAGAAGTCATTATCCTTGGCAAACTAACACAGGAACGGAAAACCAAACACTGCATGTTCTAATTTATAAGTGAGAGCTGAACAATGAGGACACATGGACACAGGGAGGGGAACAACACACATTGGGACCTCTCAGGGGAGGGCAGAGGGTGGGGTAGAGCATCAGGAAAAATAGCTAATGCATGCCAGGCTGAATATCTAGGTGATGGATTGATAAGTGCAGCAAACCACCATGGCACATATTTACCTATGTAACAAACCTGCACATCCTGCACATGTACTCTGAAATTTAAAAAAACATGAATAAAGTGTGGACAACAACAATGGAGCTAAAATTCAAAATTCTCTCTCTCTCCCTCTCTCTCTATATATATGGGTAAATATATAAATTTGGTAAATATATAAATATGGGTAAATACATAAAAATTTAAATATGGGTAAATACATATTTCTCTCTCTATATATATGGGTAAATATATAAATTTGGTAAATATATAAATATGGGTAAATACATAAAAATTTAAATATGGGTAAACATAAAAATTTGAAATTCTATCTCTCTATATATAATGGGTAAATATATAAATTTGGTAAATACATAAATATGGGTAAATACATTAAAAATCTATCTATATCTATATATCTATATATATATACATATATATATAGATATATATAGACAGAGAGAGAGAGAGAGAGGGAGATATCAGTGGTTGCCAGGAGAGGGAGGGATGAATAGGTAAAATATAGAGGCATTTAGGGCAGCGAAACTATTCTGTATGATACTGTAATCGTATGTATAAGTTATTACACAATTGTCAAAACTAATGGAATGTGCATCACAGGAAGTAAACCCTAATGTAATCACAGGAAGTAAATCCTAATGTAAACTATGGAGTTTGGGTGAAGACGTGGCATTGTAGGTTCATCAGCTGTAACAAATGCACCACTCTGGGGCAGGATGTTGATAGTGAAGGAGGCTGCGAGAGTGTGGGGGTAGGCGATATGTGGAAACTCTGTACTTTCTGCTCAGTCTTTCTGTGAACCTAAAACTGCTCTAAAAAAATAAAGTGCATTTAAAAGAAAAAAAATAAGATAGTCAGAAAAATATTACTGTCTTAAAGTAGGAATCTTAACTCTGTGTATTATGTGTATTTATACCAAATTATTTTTGCTTCAAATGTATGAAATTTTAATTTAAATAAGCAATAAATACGTAAAGATATTCAAATTCATGAGTCATCTTGAAAATAAAGTTAATTTGTAATGAAATATATCAAAAGACTAAGAAGAAAAATAGTAACAAACTTTTGCAAGAATGTTACTTGCAAAAGAACGTTGTATCATTCAACCACTTTGGAAAACCATTTGGCAGGTCTCCTAAAGCCAAATTATACCTGCCCTTTGACCCCAAAAAACATGAACTATCATGGCCGTAATAGCATCATTTTAATAGTCAAAATATGGAAACAACCCAAGTGTCCAATAGTAGCATAAATCACTAGTGATATGTTCACATAATAGAATACTCCATAGCAATGAGGATAGACTTCAACTGTGTGCAAGAGTGTGAAGGAGTCTTATATATATAACTTTAAGCAAAACAGGCCAGACATGAAAAGAGCTCAGACTTTATTATTCCATATTTATTATGCACAAAAACAAACCAATCCCAGTAGAGTAGTGAGTGAGAGGAGGCTGAAGAGAGCTTAGGCTGCTGCCAGTGTTGTGTTTCTTGATCTAAGTGCTGTTATTTGATTGTGTATGGTATATAAAAATCTATTGAACTGAGTATTAATGAAACACTTAATTTACCTCATGTATACTGTATTTCAATAGAGAAAAATATACACTAAATGTAAAGGCTTTTGTTAATGTATATGTAAAGATAGAATTGTTTAAATATTTTATTGAAATACATATTTAAATAACAAAAGGATTTTAATCTAGCATCACCTCCTTGTGTTTCTTCGCTTCATGATAATTCAACAACTTCATAACCATGAAAAGTTTAGGCTGCTGTGCACTCGTTGAACAGGAGAGACAGGCGCATAGAAGCTGGCCTGAAGTTCCTTTCAAACTGAAAATGATGGTTCTTTTGCAAAAATCATTCTTGTTTTTCTATAGGTTGTAGTATTAAATACTATGAACTAATGTTTGCTACATAACATATAACATTTAGAGTACAACTTAATTCTGAAGTTGTGTATTTATCTAAAATTATAAGATGCTAGTAATTGTCATAATGTGGAGACGTTCTATTTGCTGGCATACCAAAGGTTGTGGGCACAAGATCTTTCTCTGAATATGTTTTTCTCTACCAAATATTTTGACACATATAAGAATAGAATCCTTTGTAAGCTGTATTCGTAGGTATTTTATTCTCTTTGTAGCAATTGTGAATAGGAGTTCAATCATGATTTGGCTGTCTGTCTGTTATTGGTTATAGGAATGCTTGTGATTTTTGCACACTGATTTTGTATCCTGAGAGTTTGCTGAAGTTGCTTATCAGCTTAAAGAGATTTTGGGCAATGAGATCTAATTAAACCAAAGAGCTTCTGCACAGCAAAAGAAACTATCATCAGAGTGAACAGGCAACCTACAGAACAGGAGAAAATTTTTGCAATCTATCCATTTGACAAAAGGATAATATCCAGAATCTACAAGGAACTTAAGCAAATTTACAAGAAAAAAACAACTCCATCAAAAAGTGGGTGAAGGATATGAACAGACACTTCTCAAAAGAAGACATTTATGCAGTCAACAAACATATGAAAAAAAGTTCATCATCACTGGTCATTAAAGAAATGCAAACCAAAACCACAATGAGATACCATCTCACGTCAGTTAGAAAGGCAATCATTAGTCAGGAAACAACAGATGCTGGAGAGGATGTGGAGAAATAGGAATGCTTTTACACTGTTGGTGAGAGTGTAAATTAGTTCAACCATTGTGGAAGACAGTGTGGCAATTCCTCAAGGATCTGGAACCAGAAATATCATTTGACCCAGCGATCCCATTACTGGGTATATACCCAAGGATTATACATCATTCTACTATAAAGACACACGCACAGGTATGTTTACTGCAGCACTGTTAACAATAGCAAAGACTTGGAACCAATCCAAATGCCCATCAATGATAGACTGGATAAAGAAAATGTGGCACATATATACCATGGAATATGATACAGCTATAAAAAGAATGAGTTCATGTCCTTTGCAGGGACATGGATGAAGCTGGAAACCATCATTCTCAGCAAACTAACAGAGGAACAGAAAACAAAACACTGCATGTTCTCACTCATAAGTGGGAGTTGAACAATGAGAACATACTGACACAGGGAGGGAAACATCCCACACCAAGGCCGACTGGGGGTGGGGGCTAGGGGAGGGATAGCATTAGGAGAAATACCTAATGTAGATGACAGGTTGATGGGTGCAGCAAACCACCATAGAACGTGTATACCTATGTAACAAAACTGCACGTTCTGCATATATATCCCATAACTTAAGGTATAATAATTAAAAAATAGAGATAGAGTACTTAAAGGATTATTGTGAAGAATAAGGAGACCATTATGCCAAGTGTCTCCTTTACAGTATAAACCTAATAAATATTGATTCCTTCAAAAAAAAACAAAAAATCCGAGGGCATTTGGACACAGCACTGACGGTGTCTGCTAGAATGCGTGTGCTTTTTTTTTTTATTAAATCAAAGACAAATTTAAGTGGTTGTTTGCTTAATTATGCCCTTTACAAAATTATTACTTTTTTCTAAGGATTCCCTCTAAATAATGAGGATGTTGGGCATTTGTATGTCTCTTTTTAATAAACGTCTATTAAGGTCTTTTGCCCATTTTTAAAATTGAGTTGTTTTGTTGCTATTGAGTTGTTTGAGTTCCTTATATATTTTGGATATTAACCCGTCATCAAATGTATAGTTTTCAGGGGTATTTTTTTCATTTTGTAGGTAGGTTGTCTCTTCACTGTTGATTGTCTCCTTTGCTGTGCAGATTCTTTTTAGGAATAAGTTCAAGAGGTCTATTATACAACATGGTGACTACAGTTAATAATTCTATTGTATTCTTGAAAGTACCAAGAGAGTAGATATAAAGTGTTCACACCACAAAAATGATAGCTATCTGAGGTAATGCATATGTTAATTAGCTAGAGTTAGTCATTCTACAATGTATGCCTATGTCAAAAGGTAAATACATCCATTTTATCTGTCATTTTTAAAAATGAGGATGAATTTATACATTGATAAGGCCAAGTCTACTATCAAACATCTCTATGATAAATTTTAAAAGACTACCATGAGAACAAAGTCATGAAAGAATAATAGAAAGAACAGTAAAAATATCAAAGCATTGAATATAGGAGTGTAACAAAAAGTAGCAAAATTGAAAGCAATCATGAAAATATCTGATTATAGCTTGCAAATTGAGGTTGTATGTAAAAGTAATAAAAATAAAATTTAAAAACTAGAGGGTTAAAATTTTGAATGATTTGAGTCTGAGTCATAATTAAAATTTGAACTAGTTGTCATAGTCCTCAGCAAAATGAAGAATTTGCCTAGAGCTTGGTAAAGAAAGACAAAAAGGATGAAAAAGTATCCATATGGCATAAACCTCACAGAAATAAGGGACTTTGTGCTAGAGAAGAAGAGTAATCACTTGAAAGTAGCCTTGGAGACCCAAGGGAATGTCAGTGTCATCTCCCAGATCTTTGATCAGCCTCCACTTGAGCAATCTACAGGGAAAGGAATGAAACTAGGATGTACTGTTCTTCCGTAGGGTATGGAAGTTTACGTAATGATGCTTGGGAGCTTGTGGCAATAGAAAGATTCCTGGAGCACCATGAAAACATTATGGAGGGAGTAGATCTAAGAAAGAATGAGCCTTGAGAGCATAAATGCAAAAATAGGATGGTCAAGGAATAAAAATCTGAGAAAGGCTGGGTAACAAAAGACCATCATTTGGGATGAAGACCAGCATTGAATGGTAAACTTGAAATTAACTGTCCTTGAGGCTTCAAATGAAACCTTTGGGGAAGATGAGTGAAAAGGAGGCGTAAATAAGGAGTTATACCTCAATATTACCCTCACCCAAAAATCACAGCAAAGAAATCAAGATTGAAAGGCATTATTTGAAAGGATCATGATTAATTCATGGAAAATAAATACCTTAGTTTTTAGTTTCTATAAATTGAAATACAAAAATGTCTTCAACCTATGTCTTAGGATTTGTTTAACTGATATCAGATACAATGATATATTATGTTTTGTCAATTGTGGAGAGGTTACACATTTTCTATGCCAGATGAAAATAGGATTGGGAGTTTAAGTGATAGAATGGAAAGGAATTTTATGATACAGTGTGAGGAAGTATATACTACGTTTGACTATATACTACCTCTTAAGCAAAAAGATGCTTTGATAAAAGTTCATGGCTTCAGATAGAATTTTGGTGAAAGCTGGTTAATATTTCTCTTCAGGCGGTTGTTTGAGCATTGTTTGGAAAAGCCTCTTCTTTCTTTTAGATCAGTCTGAAGGTTCCCCTGACATTAAGACTGAACATTTAAGATGTGTTTTAAGATTTTTTAAATAAATAAAATTAAACTAAAAAAAAACTGAATTTGTTCATGAAATTAGTCAAAGGGCCAAAAAGAGGGAGCCTGAAGTTTAAGCTAGTAATTTAGTCTACTTACTAAGAGCAACTGCAAATGGCATATTCAGCTTATTTATGACAACTGACATTTTAAAAATCTTTTCTCAAAATTGAGTATTTTCTCTCATTCATTTACTAATACAAAATAATTGAATTTTTCTGAAAATTTAAAATGAAATCCTTGCCATGTGCTAGGATAAAATTAGACAATAAATAGGTCTATAAAGATAAATAGGAAACACGCAGTCCATATATTCCCACCTCATAAAGTTCAACTAAAATACCTCCAGGGACATAAATAACAACTATGGAAAAACGCATAATTAGATAAACAGGAGATAACTTTTCAAATATGATTAAATTTTTTTAAAAACCTGAAATCATTAATTTTTACTAATGTATTTTCAACTGAACATGCATATTATACACATACAGACTTTTAAATTTGTAATATATTTAAATTTTTAATTATTACCATATTCCATCCTTAGTCAAATCCTTAATAACTTTAATGTGAAGTACAAAGATATTTCCTCTGTATTTCAATGCTAATATAAATTTTCTCTTTATCTCTGCATGGTGCTCACACTTTACTATGTAACCATGTATTATTCTCTGATTTTTTATTTCTATGGCTTTCCTACGGTCATGAATCAATAAATGATTGCATAAAAAGTCCGTATTTCCTGACAGATGTGATTTTTATACTGGATAGAGGAGAGATAAACAGTATATACCAGGGATGTAATTGCCAAAGTCAATTTAAAGGAGATAGGAGCTTTAGCCTCCACTCTATCTGTTATGATCACATTCCAAATACAATTACTAACAAAATGTATACTGATGTCAAACAAGCAACTCACTCCTGGGGCATTCCATTCTTTTTTATTTGCAACTGCTATCATGGTATCCTATATGAAATGAGCTCTGCTTACATAAATGCATGTTAGTAATTTTTAAATATGAATTCTGGCTTTGTGACAATTGTCATAAAATGGGTAATGTAAAACATACTAAAAATATTTTAGGAGTGACAAGGTGTATGTCTTATTCAATATTTGAAGATTTTTTAAACCAAGGTTGAAAGACTCAAAGGATACACTAACAAGTCAAATTTATAGTCTATGTGCTCATATATCGTACTAGTCTGTTATGAGCTGAGGAGAACTCAGACAACAAAATAAACCTTGCTTGACCCCACAAGCCTGTGTGTAGAAAATGTGTTTTGTAGCTTGACTTTATTGTTATTGGACGTCATTTTACATTTTTAGATCTTCAAAGGATAGTTGATTAAATAAACAAATTACTTAATGAGTTTACCTATATGTTTCAGTATTTTATCCAAAAATACTACACCTGTAAATTTTTGGACTACTTCCCAAAGTTTATTCTGATAATATTCTCCATTCATAGAAGATAAACTCCTCATTTACCAGAAGACCAAATTTTTGATTGAGAAATTTATTTGATAAGTAACTGTTACATTCATTTTACTTAAGTCTGTTGTCAACTAAAATCTATAAAAACAAATTATGCTTAAATGATAATGTTCAATAAAGGGAATTAAATAAAAGGTAACTACCAGTGAACTAAGCCAATGTATTTTCTATTTTCTTGCTGATCTGTTCAAGAATTTTCTTTATTTAACTGATTCATCACTAAACCTTTCCCTAAATGATGTTAAAAGTAATTGTTATCTAGTGATTTTTAAAGAGTCAAAGCAGCTAGAATAATTGGGGAAAATAGGCTCCCTTTCCTTTATTTCATTTAAAATTGCCTTTCTGAGGTAGATAGAACTCATGATACAACGTTTCCATTTTTATTATATGATAGCAAAGGAACATTAATTGATTTTTTTCATTTTTGGTATGTTTCTATCAGTGTAGCATGTCTTACACAGAGACATACTCATTTGGTCATTTGATACACATATTCTCACATTTATGAAATTATCACCATATAGCATACTGTATGGATTCAGAGTTCTTATTTCAAACCGAACATGTTATAGAGTCTCTAGAGAAAGTAAAGAATAGTTAAGTAATAGACTTCATCACTACATGACTCAGCCATGATGAACTCAGATATCATTGGCAAATGCCAATCATTTATATACTCACTTTCTAGTCCCACGTATATAATTAAATCATAAGCATGGAATTTTGTTCAATATCCTATATTTTTATACTGGCTTTGAGCACAGCATATTCAAAACTGTTAGTTGTTTCAGAAATGTTTATAACACATAAACAATTTCCAACTGTTTTAACTGAATGCCCTAAAGAATAGAATTGGAAATCACTTCACCAGAATAAGACTTTTTTTAATGCAGAAATAGCATTTTAATTAAGATTACGCTTCCTTTTTTAACAGATGGAACTCTGTCAAGGCATGCTATTCTTTTCTGTTCAAAATGCACTATATTCTGTAAAAACTGCTAAGCAATTATTGGGTCAAAAATTGTGTGTGTAGTCAGCTACAACTGTGAGGATTTTCTGTAGGGAACAATGGGGACCCACCTGTACAGTATGCTCTGTAAAAGTGTCAGAGCTGCTATTTCAGGATCCAATGCCTGTGATGTGTGAGTGAATGCAATATGCATATCAGTTTTCATTATTGGGAAGTGTCACTTGCTGCCCAATTTGAAGACTACATCAAAATACAGTTTATAAACATAAATATATGAAGGAGCATTGAACTGTGGGCAATATAAAGGCACACACAGCCTTTGGCATATGAGAGTCTGGCAAATATACTGTATCTTATTTTATACTCAGAATAATCCTATGAGATACCTTGGTATCATTAAACTAATAAATAAGGTAACCAACTTCCCAAGAGTTAAAGTATTTTTGAGATATAGTGTACATTAAAATATAAATCCCTTCTACATGACTGATTTTCCCATTGAGGAGACTGCCTAGTTTTACATATTTGCTGCAAAAACATATAGTGGAAGCTAGCTATTTTGTGGTTTCAAAAGATTCTCTTGGTGGATTTGGATACCAAGTTATGAAATACAGAAAAAGGTGAGCTAGGCTAAAAGAAATTATGTCTTTCTTTCTGATCACTCATCTTGACAAAATGCACAGTCACTGAAGATACTTCTAGTGTTTAGGACAAGAACATCATTTTTATGCCTTGAGAACAAAATAGTTTTAAAAGATATAGCTGGGTTAATCATTATTCCTGGAAGTCATTTCTGGGTTCTAAAGAGTCTGCATCAAATTGTTCATGATGTGATATTTGTCATCTGTTCACACATCTTTCAACACAGTAAATTATTTAAGAGGAATATAATATCAGAGCTGTATTCAATTGGCTACTGGTAAATGAGAAGCTGAGGCTTTTGGAAACATAGCTGGAAAACTAGTAGAACATATCTATGCTGCAAAAAGCAGGCTCAGAGTTAGCAATAGAGAAAAAAATCTGGCACAATCCTGTTCTCAGGATCACCAAGGTAGTGATCTTTAAGTTAAGTGGTCAGGATCAAGGAGATTTTAAAAGTTGAAGACAAGGACATAGCATCAATATCAATGTTAAGGAGATTTGGTACTGAGCAAATCCCTGGTCTCAACCAGGAAATTTTAAATACTCTCTATTTAGGGCAAGATAAGATGTCCCAAGTTTAAGACTCAACAGATGAAGTATATATAACAAGAGATTTAAGAGATAATGACTGAACCCTCAGCATAGAGAATCATGTCTCTTTTCTCATATAACCAATTTAGGTATATTTACATAAAATAAGAAATAATATGCTGGCACATTTATATACATTTTCACATACTCCTTATAAAAATGCTCAAATCATTAGCCAAGATAAGATATCTCTTATTTGGCCAAGCTGTTCTTTTTGTTCCTTTTGTTTCATTTTGCTTTTCTGTTCTGGGATATTGATGATCTTGGTGCATAGCTGTTCTCTTCCCAGACAGTTTTAACCAAATTATGGTTTAATTATTGTCAGTATTCGCCTCTGACTTTACTCAGCCTTTATGTATGGTTTGGATCAAATGATTTTCATGGAGGTTAGTTTTCCCCTGAACATTTACAGATCTGCTGGATGTCTGACCAATGGAATGGGATAGAGATAAGACAGCCTAGAAATACTGACACATTCACAGTCAATTGGTTTTAACAAAGGTGACAAGAACACACAATGTGAAAGGACAGGTTCTCCAATAAATGGTGTTGAGGAAAACTGAATATCCACATGCCAAAGAAGGAAAATGGACCCTTATCTTATACCTTAAATGACAATCAACTCAAAATAGATTAAAGGCTTAAGTGTAAGACCTGACGCTGTAAAACTATGAGAAGAAAACATAAGGGAAAAGCCCCAAGACTTTGGTTTGGGCAGTAACTTCTTGGATAAGACCCTAAAAACCACAGGGAATTAAGGCAAAAAATAGACAAATGGGATTGCATCAAACTAAAAAGTGTCTGCACAGCAAAGGGAACATGTAACAGTGTGAAGAGACAATTCACAGATTGGGAGAGAATATTTGCAAAGGAATTTGCAAAGCAAAGTCATCTTAAGCAAAAAGAACAAAGCTGAAGGCATCACATTACCCAATTTCAAACCACACTATAAAGCTACAGTAACCAGAAGAGTATGGTACTAGTAAAAAAAAATAGACACATAGACCAATGGAACAGGTTAGGGAACCCAGAAATAAAGCCACACATCTACAGCCATCTGGTTATTGACAAAGTTGACAAAAATGAGCTATGGGAAAAGGATTCCCTATTTAATAAGTGGTACTGAGATAGCTGGCTAGCCATATGCAGAGAATGAAAGTGGATCCTATCCTTTCACCATATAGAAAAATTAACTTGAGATGAATTAAAGATGTTTGCATTCTCATGTCATTGCAGCATTATTCACAATGTCCAACAATGTCCAAGATATGGAAACATTCGAAGTGCCCATCAACAAATAGATGTTTAAAATGTGGTACATATCCAAAACAGAATACTCCTCAGCTTTAAAAAAATAAATTTTGTCATTTGTGACAACATATATGAACCTACAGGACTTTACGTTGTACGAAATATTCAAGGTACAAAGAGATAGATACTGTATGAGCTTATACGTGGAACCTAAAAAAGTTGAAATTACAGAAGCAGCGAGTAGAATGGTGGTCACCAGAGGCTGGGGGAGGGAGTAGTAGATGGGAAAAGGGGTGGCTTTTGTCAAAAGGTACAAAGTTTCAGTTAGAAAGAATAAGTTCTGTTGCACAGCCTGATGACTACAGTCAACACTAATGTATTGTATATTTCCAAAAGCTAAAAAAGGATTTTAAATGTTCTCACCACAAAGAAATGATAAATATTTGAGATAATGAACATAGTAACGAGCCTGATTTGATTATTCCACAATGTGTATACGTAAGAAAATATCACAATGTACCCCATAAATATATGTAATTATTATGTACATCAATTAAATAACATTAAAATAAAAATTTAAAAATAATTTTAAAATGTTAGATGTCTGTTTATCTTACTTTTGGTCACCACTTTTTATGATTAACTATTGTTGTTCCCCATTTTATTTTTTCAGCAAACGTTGGGTGGATTATACTCATTTTCTTTTCTTGAGGTGAATAATTTTCTGATGGCCTTGAACTGAAAACTGATGTCCCATCTGGAAGAAGAGTGCAATAATGCTTCCTGTCCCCCTATTGTGACATCGCTTTAATCATCACATATGTAACAGCACATAGGCTACACACACCTAAGTGGCTGTTATTTGCTAGTGTTCCTCAAGATCTGTAACATGAACAACTTATATAAGTGTCACCTGTGGAGCTTGCCAAAAATGCTTATTCCAGGAAACTATCCAGGTCTTTAAAAAAATAAATAAATGTATGGGGTGTAGGTGTAATTTTGTTACATGGCACATATTCAAAACAGACTTAGCACATATATACAAACTACTATCAAGTGAACAAAAAGTGGATACTGAGAAATAAGTGTATGCATTAGAAAATCGGAACTTAGCATATCATCAATTTAGGTAATTAAATCTGAAAAATGTTGGAAACCTGTGATTCACTAAATTACTGTTACTAATTATGTAACTAATTATGTAATGTAAATAAGAAAATCATCATATGATCACATTGCAGAGTGGTGAAGTCAGGGCTTTTAGAGTATTCATCATTTCAATAACATACATTGTTCCCATTAAGTAATTTATCATCATCCACACCCCTCTCAACCCCTCATCATTCTGAGTTTCCATTCCCATTCAGGTTTTCTGAATCAGAAAATCTCAGATTGGCCCAGAGACCCTGCATATTTAGAACAAGTCACCAGGTGATTTTAACACAAAAGAAACTTGATAAAAAAAATTATGAGATGACATTCTTTACAAATTCCAGGTAAATAAAATCCCCTTCTCAAGAGAGATACTTCCCTCTACTCTTTTGAGTATTCCAGATCTCACTGGCACAAGTTAGAATACCTGGAATATTTTAGTTCAAGCTAAGTCTTAGTTCAATGTTGAACAAGAACAAATTCTTAACTTTTCTAGTCTTTGATTCTTAATTTGAACGAAATCATCATTACAGTGGAGTGGCACATATTCAAAACAGACTTAGCACACATATAGAAACTACTATCAAGTGAACCAAAAAGTGGTTACTGAGAAATAAGTGTATGCATTAAAAAATGGGAACTTAGCATATCATTAATTTAGGTAATTAAATGTGGAAAATGTTGGAAATCTGTGATTCACTAAATTATGGTTACTAATTATGTAAATAAGAAAATCATCATATGATCATAATTTTTCTTTCAAGTCACATTAGTCATTGCAAATTTGGTAAATGAATAAATGAGATGTTACATTTTAAAATTTTCCAAACAGGGAAAATTAAATATAGATATTATTCTATATGCAAATAATTTATTCAGCAATTATTTTGAATATGTGATTATTTATAAAATGTCATATCATTTTATAAGTATAGACACACACATATATATATGTGTGATTATATTAAAAAGTATAAGACGTCACCAACCCTAAACAAAGTTTATACTTTAGTTGTGGAGAAAAGAGTAAACTTTTAAGAGCTAAACTGCAAGGAAGTAAGAGAGCATCCTCAGGAGTGAAGCTTTTCTAACTTCTGCAATCCTTGATGAAATGAGTCAGGGCTAGTAAGCCTTGCCTGGCTATAAAGAGAGATATGGATTTGAAAGGGCAGAAAGCAAGGGATAGAGGGGCCCAGGAGACAGAAAAAGCATAAGCAAAGACAGAGAGAGAGAAATGTGTGTGCACAGTGCAAGAATAAGACATGTTTAATAACTTTAAAGTTTAATGTGGGAGATGGATAGAGAGAAAGGCTGTTTAGTAAATCACATTAGGGAAAGCAAGACAGAGATGAAATTGATGTGGAAGAAAATAGAGCCATTATTGTATTTTGAACCTAGAAGTGAAAAGATCAAACTGGTATTTTGGTAATTTTAAAATCGCCTGACTCTCAGATAATCAAGAAACAGGGACAACAGATAGGGCATCTTTATAATAACCTATCCAGGTTATTATATCCTATATAATAATAATAACCTATCCATGAAGCACTGCAGAACAGATAAATCACACAACTTAAAGGATGAAATAACAGATTTTTTACTTTTTTAAACATAGTACACAAAGTAAAATGAGAATGAAGAACTTATCATAGGAAGTTGCATTCCACTTGATGAATGGCATTTCCAAGTGCATGCATGTTAGTTTCCAACTACTGCTGTAACAAATATCACAGGATTAGTAGCTAAAACAACAAAAATTTATCTTCTCCTTTATAAGGACCCTTGTGATTATACTAGACTCACTCAAATAATTCAGGGTAATATCTCCATATCAAGATCCTTAAGTTAGTCACATCTAAAAAGTTCCCTTTGCCATGCAAGAACATATTCACAGATTCCAGGGATTAGGATATGGGCATCTTTGGGTGTCCATTATTCTTCCTACTCTATCAAGAGATGAACAAGAGAATACAATTAATATTATTGAGCTCTTACCCCGTAATATGGCTTGGTTGTGTCCCCACTCAAATCTCGTCTTGAACTGTAGCTCCCATAATTCCCATGTGTCGTGGGAGGGACCCAGTGGGAGGTGATGGAATCATGGTGGCAGGTCTTCCTCATGCTGTTCTTGTGACAGTGAATACGTCTCACAAGTTCTGATGGTTTTATAAAGGGGAGTTCTCCTACACAAGTTCTGTCGCCTGTCACCATGTAAGATATACCTTTGTTCCTCCTTTGCCTTCTTCCATGATTGTGAAACCTCCCCAGCCTGTGGAACTGTTAGTCCACTAAACCTCTTTTCTCTCAGGTATGTCTTTATTAGCAGTGTGAAAACAAAATAATGCACCCTGTGAGAGACACATAATCTCACATATCCAATCTCATTTATCCCCAAAAATAGACCGAAAGGGAAAGAGAAACATTCCCTATAATCCCACAGTTAATAAGATGCAAAACTGAGTTTGAACCCAGTTTTATTTCACTTCAGACACCATCCTCAAAAGGGAAAAGTTGAGGATCTTTTGGGGGTTATTTAGGGGGTGTGTGCTGTGAATTTTGTTTTAAACATATTGCATATGAAGGAACAATTACAGAGAGTTGGAAATAAAGAACTTAAGCACAAGTAAAGTATCAGCGACACAGGTAGAAATTTAGAAATAAATATCAGATAAATAATAACTAAAATTATTATAGCATATGGATTATGAAAGATAATTTGAACAGGAAATCAGGGCTATTAAGTTGGTTAGAGGGAGAGGAAGAATGACCAAAGAGGTAGGAGAATCAGAGGAGTGTATTATTGTAAGAGGCAAAAAGGAGAACACGTGAATGAGACAGAGATGGAGAGCTTAAAATGCTGTCAAAAGGAAGAGGAAAAATAGAAATGAAAAAAGGCCCTGACTTTCCATAAGGAGAAAGTAATCTTTTGGCTCATTAGTGTCCTTTGATTCAAATTACTTGAATAATACATTTTTTGAAGAAAAGAGATACCTACATTTTAAGTAAAATTGATGTTGCTGTCCTATGAATCTTTTATCATTGAGTTATTGAATATTTTGTCATTGAGGTACTGTAAGAAAATATGTTTTGGTATTTTCTTGAAATAGAGAATATTTTACTGCATTTTAAGAACTTTTTAAACAATTACCAACATGTGTTTTAAGGTGCCTTTCTAAGATCCTTTGGGATAGTTTGACTGGGCTCTCCTCTCTTCCCATCCCCACTCCGCTCCCTGACCTGCCATGTTCTTCTCATGTGTTCACATCATTGATATGATTGCTTTAATCTGCACAAAATCTCTCACTGGGAGTTCAGCTGTCCAGAGCTAAATCATCTTTATATTTATTTATTCAGAAATAATTGCATTTTCCTCAACATTATTATTCTGCTATCACCTCAATGTATTTGTCTTTTCTGCTAGTGAGAGAAATGCTCATGGATCAAAATGTTTCTTTTGAGATTTTGATAGAATTACTAGTACTTGGGCCTCGAATTTCACCTGTGAAAAGCTAAGAATCCTTCCAAGATTTAGAGTCACATAGAATTATACTTTATAATAAAAACTGAGATACCGTCATCAAATTATAAAATTAAAATTAAAGAATTTTAAAATATTAAATAATATAAAGTTGGGATATGTGAGTATGAATGCTAGAGAGGCTTCTTTGAGTGTGGGTGAAAAGACAATATTATTCAAAACATGTTTTCCATGTTGTTGCCATACAGATACTCACATATAGCTTATAACAACATGTGTATGTCCATATATACACACATTAGCTTATGTATGCATATCTATAGTTCATAACTATATCTTAATATATATAAAACACAGTAATACTAATATATATAGTATCCTCAGTCAAAGACTATTGGCACAGGACTTGGGAGACAGCTCTCACAATGTCTTTTAAATTTCAGATAATTTAAAATGTTAAGGAGATATTAATTTGTCCAATGTTATGTTGATATATTCTGCTATCATAGAAAAAAATAGAACTTCACAAGTGTTTGCCACAATGGAAAATGCAATTTGACTTCAGAAAAACAAACAAAAAAGACAAAACCACCTAAACTTTTAAATAGATGCCCTAGTTGAACTTTTAAAATACATAAAAGTATAAAGGAAACAAAAATGACACATAATTCATGATTAACAATTTCATTTAGAAATCACCAATATCCTAATAACCATATGAGATATGTGTATGCAGGTGCATATACAGTGAATACTGTTTTCACTAAAACAGTGAAACAGATGGTCTAATACTTTGTCTTTTTTTATTTCAAGAGATTTCTTCATATCAGGCCTTAAAAGATTGTTTCTTCAGGCATTCTTCTAAGTATCTAAAACTCGGTACTGCATGAGCACTGGCCAATCAGCATGGATGCTGACTTTAGGCTGAGCAGGACCCTGGGAGGACCTTGTTATACCTACACCCAATCCTTTAGTTGATGGGTCACACAGTTGTCCTAGGGTCACACAGGAAGCATTTTAGTGGCGTGAGAGGAGGCCTGGGACTGCAGGAACTTGAGTCAGCAGCTATTACGAATCATAGCAAAAGTATTTGAGTATTTTGACAACTATGTCTATAAGAAGAACATAGTGTCTGAAATTAACCTCTGTGTTTTCCTATAATTTGGTACACTTGCTAAGTAAATTAGTAAGTACTGAAAATTCTCATTTAAAAACGACCAAATTAGGAGCTTACCATTATATATTAGAGAAGACAGAATCAAAAGAAATGCCAGAAGATTATAGCAATTTCTAAGGCAGAAAACCTGACTTTCTCTTTCTAGGATGATCTTTCTCATTGACGTATTTCTTGGAAAACCTTTAAGAAATCACTAGCATACTTAAGAAAGAAGAGAACACAGGAAAGTTAATTGCTTCAGCAAAATCACCCATAATCTGGCAGTGGAAAAGAGGTTAAAAACTAAAGCATGCTAATTGCCCATTAGTTACATGAGTAAAGTGATCATATGTACTGCTTTGCTTAATATGTCATAGATTGTGTGTGTATGTGTGTGTGTGCATGTATGTGTGTAGAAAGAGATAGTGATAGAGATAGGCAGATGTCATGAGGCTTTGTCACTAAATACTTCTGCCCTTGAGTTCTAAAAACAAGCAAATTAGCCCACATAACCATAATACAGTTATTAGGAAATTTAACATTTAAATACAAATCATTTATCTAGTATACAGTCCACATTAGAATTTCCACAATTACACTGGTAATGGGCTTTATAGTTTTTAAAATTTTATAGTTTTTTTTTCATTCAGAAAACAATAAAGGGTCATGAATGACACTTAGTTGCCACTGTCTCTTTAGTCTTCTTTAATCTGGAAGAGTTCCCAGAAAATTTTGTCTTTCATGACACTGATATTTTGAAGAGCCATTGCTATATGTTTGCAAGACAATCCTTAATTTTGATTTATATAATTGTTCCTAATGATTAGACTAATTTTATATTTTTGATAGGTTTTTATATATATATATTTTAGGCTATATTGCTAAATACAAATGAGTTGAAAAAAATTTATATTTCCTGATATGATAAACCATATATAATTATATAGTGTCACCTTAATTCTCAAAAGTTTTATTTCTTTTTGTTTTGTATTACTATAGCTACTTCTAGTTACTTCAATTTTTTAGTCACATTCATTCTTGTACTATCAACATTTCTGTGTACATATATTGCAGGTATGTTTCTTTGTGGCAATAACTGTAGATTGTTTCCAATATCTGTACATTTTCTTTCCTTAATAAAAAAACAGAATCTTTAGATTTTAGTTCAGTATATTCTTATCAAGCATAAAAATGTGTATCCCTGCCTCTTGCAGTTGGGTGTGACCATGTGACTAAATTTTTGACCAATGAGTTATAACTATAAATGGTATGTACAATTTCCAGAAGCAGTCATTTTAGTTTTTAATTTTTGGGGGTACATAGTAAGTATACATATTGATGAGGTACATGAGATATTTTGATACAGGCATACAATGCATAATAATCACATCAGGATAAATGGAGTATCTATCATCTCAAGTATTTATCCTTTCTTTGTATTACAAACAATCCAAATATACTTAGTTATTTTGAAATGTACAATAAATCATTGTCAACTGTAGTCATCCTGTTCTACTATGAAATAGAATAACTTGTTCATTCTAATTATAATTTCACATTCATTAACCATACACACATTCCCCCTCCACACACACATCCCCAATACCCTTCCAGCCTCTGGTAACCATCATTCTACTATCTCAATGAGTTCAATTTTTTAAAATTTAGTTCCCCAAATAAATGAGAACATGCAAATTTTGTCTTTCTGTGACTGGCTTATTTCATTTAACATAATGACCTCCAGTCCCATCCATGTTGTTACAAGTGACAAGATCTAATTTTTTTTATGGCTGAATAGTATTCCATTGTGTATATGTGCCACATTTTCTTAATTTGTCTGTTGGTGGACATTTGAGTTGCTTTCAAATCTTGGCTATTGTGAACAGTGCTGAAACAAACATGGGTGTGCAGATATTTCTTTGATACACCAATTTCCTTTCTTTTAGGTATTTACCTAGCAGTGGGATTGCAAAACATATGGTAGTTCTATTTTTAGTTTTTTCAGAAAACGTTAAACTATTCTCCATAGTGGTTAAACTTACATTCCCACCAGCAGCAAACAAGTAGGTTTCCCTTTTCTCCACATCCTTGCCAGCATTTGTTATCGCCTGACTTTTGGATAAACACCATTTTAACAGGAGATGACATCTCATTGTAGTTTAAATTTCCATTTCTCTGATGATCAGTGATGTTGAGCACCTTTTAATATACTCATTTTCCATTTGTATGTCCTCTTTTAAGAAATGCCTACTCCGATTTTTTGCCCATTTTAAATGGAATTACCAGATTTTTTTCCTATACAGATGTTTGAGCTCTTTATATATTCTGGTTATTAATCCCTTGTCAGATGGATAATTTGGAAATAGCTCCTCCCATTCCATGGGTTGTCTCTTCACATCGTTGATTGCTGTGCAAAAGCTTTTTAACTTGATGTGATATAATTTATCCACTTTTGTTTGGTTGCCAGTGCTTGTGGGGTATTACTCAAGAAATCTTTGCCCAATCCAAAGTTATGGAGAGTTTCCCCAAAGTATTTGTTTAATAGTTTCATAGTTTGAGGTCCTAGATTTAATTCTTTAATTCATTTTGATTTTATTTTTGCATACGGTGAGAGATAGGGGTTTACTTTCATTCTTTTGCATATGGATATCCAGTTTTCCCAGAACCATTTATTGAGAGACAATCCTTTCTCCCATGGATGTTCTTGGCACCTTTCTCAAAAAATAGTTCACTATAGATGTATGGATTTGTTTTTGGGTTCTCCGTTCTATTCCATTGATCTATGTGTCTATGTTTATGCCAATACAGTACTGCTTTGGTTACTATTGCTCTGTAGTATAATTTGAAGTCAGGTAACGTGATACCTCTAGTTTGGTTCTTTTTATTCAGGATAGCTTTCACAATTCTAGGTCTTTTGTAGTTTCATATACATTTTAGGATTATTTTTTCTATCTCTGTGGAGAATGTCACTGGTACTTTCATAGGGATTGCATTCAATCTGCAGATTGCTTTGGGTAGTATGGACACTTTAACAATATTGACTCTTCCAACCCATGAACAATAAAGTATCTTTTCATTTTTTGTCCCCTCTTCAATTTATTGCATCAATGTTTTATAGTTTTCAGTACAGAGATCTTTCACATCTTTGGTTTAGTTCTTATTTGTGGCTATCATAAATGGAATTACTTTCTCAACTTTTTAGATTCTTCACTATTAGCATATAGAAATGCTACTGATTTTTGTATGTTGATTTTGTATCCTGCAGCCATACTGAATTTGTCTACCACTACTAATAGCTTTTTGGTGGAGTCTTTAGCTTTTTCCAAATATAAGATTATATCATCTGCAAATAAGGATAATTTAACTTCTTCTTTTCCAATTTGGATGTCCTTGATTTCTTCATCTTGTTTCTCTAGCTAGAATTTCCAGTACTATGTTAAATAACAGTGGTGAACGTGGGTATCCTTGTCTCATTCCAGATCTTAGGGGGAAGGATTTTAGATTTTCCCTATTCAGAATGATACTAACTGTGGGTCTGTCATATATGGCTTATATTGTGCTGATGTATGTTCTTTCTATACCTAGTTCTTTGAGGATTTTTAACATGAAGGGATCTTAATTTTATCAAACGCTTTTTCAGCACCAATTGAAATGATTTTACGGTTTTTGTCTTTCATTCGGTTGATATATCAAATTTATTGATTTGCATATGTTGAACCATACTTGCATGCCTGGATAAATCCCACTTGGTGATTATGATTTTTTCAATGTGTCATTGAATTTGATTTGCTAGTGACGTGGTTTGGCTCTGTGTCCCCACCCAAATCTCGTCTTAAACTGTAATCCCCACATGTTGAAAGGGGAGCCTAGTGGGAGGTGACTGAATCATGGGGGCGAAGTTCCCTCTTGCTGTTCTTGTGATAGTGAGAGAGTTCTCATGAGATCTGATGGCTTAAATGTGTGTGGCACTTCCCTCTTCTATCTCTCTCTCTCTCTCCCCACTCCTCTGCCATAGTAAGATACGCTTGCTTCTCCCTTGCCTTCCACCATAGTTGTAAGTTTCCTGAGGCCTCCCACTCATGTTTCCTGTTAAGCCTGCAAAACTGAGTCAACTGAACCTCTTTTCTTCATAAATTACCCAGTCTCAGTTAGTTCTTTATAGCAATGTGAGAATGGACTAATACAAAAAGTTGATACCACGAGTGGAGCACTACTATAAAGATACCTGAAAATGTGGAAGCAACTTTGGAACTGAGTAATAGACAGAGGTTGGAAGAGTTTGGAGGGCTCAAAAGAAGACAGGAAGATATAGGAAAGTTTGAAACTTTCTAGAGGCTTGATGAATTGTTTTAACCAAAATGCGGATAGTGATATAGACAGTGAAGTCCAGGCTGAAGTAGTCTCAGATGGAGATGAGGAACTGATTGGCAACTGGAGTAAAGGTCACCCTTGTTATGCTTTAGCAAAGAAATTGGTGGCATTTTGCCACTGCCCTAGACATCTCTGGAACTTTGAATTTAAGAGAGATGATTTAGGGTATCTGGTGGAGGAAATTTCTAAGCAGCAAAGCACTCTAGATGTGACCTGGCTGTTTGTAAAATGTATGCTCATATGCATGAAGAAAGATTTGGCCTGAAATTGGAACTTATCTTTAAAAAGGAAGGAAAGCACAAAAATTTGGAAAATTTGCGGCTTCCCCATGTGGTAGAAAAGAAAGCCCATTTCCTGAGGAGAAATTCAAGCTGGCTGCATAAATTTGCCTAAGTAAAGAGAAGCCAAATGTTAATAGCCAAGACAATTGGGAAAGTCTCCAGGACATTTCAGAGGTCTTCACAGCAGCCCCTCCCATCACAGACCTGGAGGCCTATAAGGGAAAAATGGTTTCCTGGGCTGGGCCCAGAGCCCTGTTACTCTGTGCAGCCTTGGAACATGGTGCCCCCAGTCCCAGCCACTCCAGCTCCAGCTGTGGTTAACAGGAGACAAGGTACAGCTCAGGCCATTGCCTCAGAGGGTGCAAGCCCCAAGTCTTGGCAGCTTCCATGTGATGTTGGGCCTACAGAGGCACAGAAGGCAACAGCTGAGATTTGGGAGCCTCCATCTAGATTTCAGGGGATGTATGGAAATGCGTGGATGTCAAGGCAGAAGGCTGCTGCAGGGATGGAGATTTCATGGAGAACCTCTACTAGGGCAGTACAGAGGGGAAATGTGGGGTTAGAGCCCCCGCCTCCCCCCCCCCAAGAGTCCTCACTGGGGAACTGCCTAGTGGAGTTGTGAGAAGAGGGCCACTGCTTTTCAGATCCCAGAATGGTAGATCCACCATTCTGGTGCATTCCAGATCCACCATTCCAGGTTCATCATGCACCTGGAAAAGCCACAGGCCTTCAATGTCAGCCCTTGAAGGCAGCTGTGGGGGCTGTACCCTGCAGAGCCACAAGGACAGAGTGGCCCAAGGCAATAAGTGCCCACCCCTTGCATCAGTATGTCCTTGCTTTGAGATATGGAGTCAAAGAAGGTTATTTGGGAGCTTTAAGATTTAATGACTACCCTGCTGGGTTTCAGACTTGCAAAGGGCCTGTAGCCCCTTTTTTTGGCTAATTGGAATGGGAGAATTTACCCAATGCCTGAATCCCCATTGGATCTTGGAAATATCTACCTTGTTTAACTTCATACACCCACTTCTTGTTTCTATTTATATCTTAGTGTACTATGTCTTGAGATGTTGTAGTTATTATTTTTGATCATTTTATCTTTCAGTCTTTCTACTCAATATGAGTTTACCACCATAAGTTTTATAAGATTGTGTTTTTCTGTATACTTACTGTTGCCAGTAAGTTTTATACCTTCAGATGGTTTTTTATTGTTCATTAATGTCCTTTTCTTTCACTTTGAAAATCTCCTGTTAGCATTTCTTATAGGACAAGTCTAGTCTTGATGAATTTCCTCAATTTTTGCTTGTCTGAGATAATATTTCTCCTTCATGTCTGAAGGATATTTTCACTGAATATACTATGCTGGGATAAACTTTTTTTTTTCCTTCAGCACGTTAAGTATGTCATGCCACTCTCTCCTGGTCTGTAGGGTTTCCACTGAGAAGTTTGCTGCCAGGTGTATCAGAGTTCCACTGTATGTTGTTTCTTTTATTTTGCTGACTTTAGGACCCTTTTTTGTCCTTGATAGTTGGAAGTTTGATTATTAAATGTCTTGAAGTAGTCTTTTTTGTGTTAAATCTGCTTGGTGTTCTATATCCTTCTTGTACATGGATATTAATATCTTTTCTAGGTTTGGGAGGATGTCTGTTTTTATCCATTTGAATAAACTTTCTACCCCTATCTCTTTCTTTACATCCTCTTTAAGACCAATCATTCTCAGATTTACCGTTTTGAGACTATTTTCAGACTTTTTAGGTATGCTTCATGCTTTATTATTATTTTTCTGTCTCCTTGGTGTATTTTCAAATAATCTTCAATCTCACTAATTATTTCTGTTTGATTAATTATGTTGTTAAGAGCCTCAGGTGCATTTTCAGTGTTTCAATTTCATTTTTCAGCTACTGAATTTCTGCTTGATTCTTTTAAGTTAACCTCCTTGCTAAATTTATCTGATAGAATTTTGAATTCCTTCTCTGTGTTATCTTAAGTTTAGTTGAGCTTCCTCAAACAGCTATATTGAATTCTCTGTCTGAAGGGTCACATATCTCTGTCCTTCCAAGTTTGATCATTGGTGCCTAGTTAGCTCATTTGGTGAGGTCAAGTTTTCTGGATGGTCTTGATGATTGTGGATGTTCATTCGTGTCTATACATTGCAAAGTTAAGTATTTATTGTAGACTTCATAGTCTGCACTTGTTTGTACCCATCCTTCT
The DNA here is from genome assembly GCF_000001405.40 of Homo sapiens. Taxonomy (NCBI): domain Eukaryota; kingdom Metazoa; phylum Chordata; class Mammalia; order Primates; family Hominidae; genus Homo; species Homo sapiens. The sequence goes on from NC_000006.12 coordinate 104,125,466, forward strand.
TGGAAAGAGTTTCCAGGTATTCAAGAAGACTTGCATGTTATGATCAAGTTTTAGTCATTGCAACCATATGTGCATTATACTCTATAATCAGCAGGTGGTAAAGCCACACAGGCTTATGTCCATCCTTTCAGGACAGTGAGTCCCCCACCAACCCCAGTCCCAAGTGGGCTCAGAGATATCATCCAGAAGCCAGGACTTGGAGTTAGATAAAAATCTACCTAATGCTCTATTCTACTGCAGTTAAGCTGGCACCCAAGACAAAAGACAAAGTCTTTCCCACTCTTGCCTCCTCATTCCGCAAGCAGATGAGTATCCTTCCATGGCCACTACTACCCCAGTACCACGGTGAGTACTATCTGGCTACCACAGATGTTCATTCAAGGCCTGAGGGCTCTCCAGTCAGCTTATGGTGAATGCTACAATGTCTGCGACTCTCCCTTCAGAGTAGTGGGCTTCCCTCTGTCCCAGGGCAGGTCCAGAAATGCTAAGAGCCAAGGCCTGTAATCAGGGACTGCAAGAGCCCACTTGGTGTTCTACCCCACTGTGGCTGAGCTGGTACCTAAGCTGCAAGACAAAATCCCCTTTATTCTTCCCTCTCCTTTTCACGAGCAGAAGGATTCCCTCCCGACTGCCACCACAGCTAGGAATGTTCTGGGTCACACCTGAAGCCAGCATGCCTGTGAGTCTTACCCAAGGCCCATGGTGAGTACTGCCTGGGTACTGTTGCTGATTATTCAAAGCCAAACAGTTCTTTAGTCAGCATGTAATGAATCCCACCAGGACTGGGCCCTTCCCTTGGAGGCATCAAGTTCTCTTCTGGCCCAGGGTGTGTCCAGAAATGTTGTCGAGGAGCTAGGGCTTGGAAAGGGGGCCACAGGACTCTGCCTGGTGTCCTAACCTACTGTGACTGAGCTAGTTTCTACATCGTAAGACAAAGTCCTCTTTACTCTTCCCTCTCCTTTCCTCATGCAGAGGGAAGGAGTCTCTCCCAGAGCTGTGAGCTATGCTGTCTGGAGTGGTGGGAGAGGTGGCACAAGCACTCCCTTAGCCACTCTGGCTGGTGTCTCAGTAGGCCACATTCCTCCCAAGTCCACCAGCTCCAATCCCAGCACAGGATCAGGACTTTCCCAGGAATTGCAGTCCTTGTGGCCTAAACTGATTTTCTTGTTTATTTAGGATCCCAGAACACCTTAGCACATGGTGGCAAAACTTGCCAGAACTCAGGCTCCAACCACTGGAATGGGCATTTTCCTCTGACTAGGGCTGGTCTAAATGCTTTCTCCATGGGCAGCAGCTTAGTTCTGCCCTGTGTTGCTTAGCACTGTGACAGGCAGCATTGGATTCCAATGCAAGATTCCACAATCACTGCAATCTCCCTCTCCCAAGCACAGAAATTCTATGCACCACACAGCTGCTCCCAGGGGATGGGAGGAGGGTGGTAGTGGCAACAATTAAAGAGTGTCTTCCCTATTCTCTTCAGTGACTCTTTCAGTGTTACGAAGTTAAAACCAAGTACGTGATTACTCACCTGATCTGGGGTTTTTATGAAGGTGTTGTTTGTTTTTGTTTTGTTTTTTGAGACAGAGTTTCGCTCTGTCACCCAGGCTGGAGTGCAGTGGTGCTATCTCGGCTCGCTGCAACCTCCGCCTCCTGGGTTCAAGCGATTCTCCTGCCTCCCAAGTAGCCGAGATTACAGTGCCCGCCACCATGCCTGGCTAATTGGTGTTTTGTTTTGTTTTGTTTGATTTGGTTTTTTTGTATTTTTAGTAGAGACAGGGTTTCACCATGTTGGCCAGGCTGGTCTGGAACTATTGACCTCAGGTGATCCTCCTGCCTCAGCCTCCCAAAGTGCAGGGATTACAGGTGTGAGCCACCACGCCCAGATCAAAGGTGTTTTTTTAATGTGGATATTTGTTCCATTTAGTATTCCTGTGGGAAGGATGATCAGTGGAGGCTTATATTTGGCCATCTTGCTCCCTCGATCAGTTCTTAAAGAGATGGCATATTGCCTTCTTCAAATCTTCTTTCTCGTTGGCTGGAATGCAGACCTAATGTCTGTAGCTGGAGCAGCCATCTTTGCAAATGCTGTGGGACAATTAATATAATAGATGAGCAAAATGGAAGTACCTTGCTCTGTGATGGTGGTGAAGTGAATATCCTTTCCTGGACTGACTGGACATATCATCGCTGAACTCCTTTAGGATGAGAAGATAGTCTTCTACATTATTATTTTGTTGTTGCTATTGTTACTGACAGCTAAACCTAATCCTAAGGAGTAACATGTTATAAGCAATGTAACACTGGGCAATTTTTCATTCAACATGAAAATATTTATATATACACAGCAAGTTTAGTACATTTGTATCTACTGTGATTTTTGACACATTAATTTATATGATTTTTCCTAGCTGAGTAGTATGTATGACCATATCCAAATTTTGAATCCATTGCTTTGATGGACATTTAGGTTGCAAATATGTTTTGGCTATTGTCAATGGAACTACTATAAATGGTTTTGTATGATTCCTTTTGGGTCATATGCTTTCATTACTTTTAGGTAAATACCTAGGAGTAAAATTGTTAGTATATGCTTCCTTTTATAAGAAACTGCCAAATTGATCTTCAAAATGCTTTAAAATTTTATATTCCTACCAACAGTGTATGGCTATCTCAGTTGCCACATATGCTAACACTGGTGTTGTCAGTCTTTTTAATGATTTTAGAGAATATAGTCATATTCCTTTATGGTTTTTGTCTTAGTTCATTTGTCCTGCTATAACCAAATACCTGAGACTGGATAACTTATGAAGAAGAGATATTTATTTCTCACAGTTCTGGAAGCAGAAAAGTCTAAGATCAAGGCCCTGGAAAATTCAGTGTCTGGTGGAGTCTCACTCCTGTCAAGATGGTGCCTTGTTGCTATGTCCTCTGACAGGAACAAATGCTGTGTCCTCACATGACAGAAGGAAAGGAAGGGAAGGGGTGGCTAGGGCACTCTCTTCGACTTGTTTTACATGGTCACAATCCCATTCAGGAAGGCTCTACCCTCATGACTTAATTATCTCCTAAAGGCCCCACCTTCATAATACTATCACATTGCCCATTAAGTTTCAACATATGAATTTTGAAGGACACATTCAGATCATAGCAATGTTATTTGCAATTCTCTTATGATTATTGATTTTGAGCACCTTATCTGGTACTTGGTGATAAGGTGGGCACTGAGGGGTGAGGCAGGTGAAGGGGGTATGTGTACACATTTGTAAAGTGTTCACATATTTTGCCCATTTTAAATCGAGTCATTTGTCTTATTATTATTCATCTGTAAGCATTCTTTATACATTTGGGATGCAAGTTTTTCATCAGATGTGTGTATTGCAAATACTCTATCTCAGCCTGTCCATTTGAAATATATTAAAGATATCTTTTAATGACCAGAGTTTAATTTTTATTAAATCCCATATATTATTTTATAGTTGGTCATTTTTATGTTATATCTAAAGAATTTTTGCCTAGAAGACTGAGAAAATACTGTTCAACATTTTCTTCTATAAACTTTATTGTGTTAGCATTTACATTTGGGCCTATAAGCCTCAAATTAAGATTTTCTATGATGGAGTTTTTTCAAGACAATTATTCAGTTGGTCTAGCACTGCTTGTTGAAAACTTTCATTGACATTTTATTTACGTAATTATTCTTTTCATTTGTAAAAGCATTACTTGGTTCTTAAACATGCCTGGTCATTTTTCATGGTATCTTATTTTTCCATTCCAATTTTGTTTATATCCTGTATTACTTTAAAATATTTAAAACATACTCATGTTACATACCACAGAATCTTATGTTCTGACATTCTTGGGTGTCTAGTTTTGGTCTTTTGAAATTTATCTAACTCTTACTCCTGTGGGCAAATGTGAAAAAAAAATTCTCCTCTAGTCCTTTTGCCTTCTTGCTTTCCTATCTAGCTTCTTTGAGTATAAGAGCAGCTGCCTATGTAGGTTTGCTGAGCTTGAGGACACATCTGAGGGTCCAGGCTTTTCTGTGATCTCTACAGGAGAGAACAGCATGAGAGTTTGTTCGTTAGTCTGCTAAGCAACTTTCAGGAGACTGGGTGAGGAGGCTCAGGAAAGGACCTAGATTTTTCCAAAGGAAGCAGAACATGTTAGGAAAGAAAGAGATTGACTAGAAGATTAAATGGAAAGCATATCTCAAAATATAGACAAAAGAGACAGGCATGATATGCAATGAAAGACTTAAAGTACAGAGCCAGGAAACAGCTTCAGAATAGGAGTTGAAGAAAGAAAAAAGGACCAAATGCAAAAGAGGTGTTTATTTTAAAAAAATAACAAGGGAACTTACTTTAACCTGAATAAATATTTGGTTCTACATAATAATATTTTAATGAGGCCTCAGATAGATTAATGTTATAAGCTTACAGGATGGAATATTCCTTCGTTCTAAGAAAAACAGAAAAACCTGATGTGTCCAGTTGAAATTGCCAGGATCCCTGTCACTGCTACCCTTGCCCTCAAAAGGAAGAAATCCAATTAGCATCAGACTCTCACCAGCAGTGCCTCAAGCTATAAACTAGAGCAAGGTGAGAAAATCAGCTCTTCTTAGGTTTCTAAAGGCAGGACCTCTATCTTCTCACATTAATTTATATCCCTGAAAATAGCTGTTATTGGAAATTAAAATCATAATATGGCCTTCACCTGCCACACCTTTGTTTTATATTTTTCTTATCATTAGTGGGAAATAAGAGTGTCATTTAACAGTCACCCTTAAGAACAGGATTATCTTTAAAATTTTTAAGAATACATTTAGTTTTATAGAAAAATTACAAAGATAGTACAGAGAGTTCCCTTATACCCAAAACCCATGTCTCTCCATTATTAACATCTTATATTAGCATGGTCCATGTGTCACAGTTAATGAATCAATATTGATACTTTATTAATTAAGTCAGTACTTTACTCATTTTTTAATGAATGTCCTTTTTCTCTTCCATGATTTCAGCCAACACAGCACATCATGTTTAGTCATCATGCCTCTTTAGGCACCTCTTAGCTGTGACAGTTTGTCAGAATTTCTCTTAAGACTTGACAGTTTTAAGGAGTACTTGTCAGGTATTTTATAGAATATCCATTAATTGGGTCTGTCTGTTAATTTTTATTAGACTAGGGTTTTAGATTTTTGGAAGGAGCACCTCAAAGATTAAGTGCCATTCTTACCACATCATATCAAGGATACAAACTACCAATATGACTTATCTTTATGGATGTTAATTTTCATCACCTGGCTGAGGTAGTGTTTGTAGACGCCTCCACAATAAAGTTACTTTTTCACCTTCCCATGCTATATTCTTCAGAACAAAGTCACTAAGCACAGCCTGTCCTTAAAAAATAGAAAGTTATGCTCAATCTCCTGAGAGCAGAATAGCTGTATAAACTATTTGGAATTCTGCCTGGGCTATGTGTTTGTTCTCACAATTAATTTATACAATCATTTATATCATTATAGATTTGTGAATATTTTATAATGTAAGCTATAATACAGTGATGTTTATGTGTTTTGTCGCTCAGAATTATTTGTATTTGGCCATTGGAAGCCCTATTATTTGGCTTCAATTTCACTTCGACATACCTGCATCTTTGCCTATTTTTTTATTGTAGTACTCCATACTTTTGAGACATTCAGGATGATCTGCACACATCTTGTATATTTCCTGTGCCAGTCCTAGAATCAGCCATTGTCCTAAAGAGCCTGATTCCTTTTACTGGAGAAGACTATTAGAAACCAAGATCTGAGTTATGAGTGTGCTAATTGCTACTGGGACATAATTGTTTCTTTGACCTCAGCTGTGAGAAATTTATGTGTGCATACCAACCCATGTATATATACATATCTGTAAATATTTTCATATGTAACTATTTGTGTCTATATAAAAATGAACATGATGTCATTCCAATGTCTCCAGCTCCAGCCTCTTCTCCTTGCTTGTCTATAATCCTCCATCCCAACAATGAGAAACATGGCTCCCACTATCTACCAGTGACTATTGTTGAATTCCAGAAAATAAGTACTTACAGTGGTTTCTGAAATGCTATCCCATACCCTCATGGGAAGCAATTTTGTCAACTGGGGAATGTGCTTATATACAATACCTTTGCCTTTATCCTTACAGACTGCACTCATTTCTTATGTCAACACTTTGTTCACACATCCTCTTTGGTGAGTTTATTTCATACATTTGTAATATAGTTAGATTCCTTTGACACAATATGCGTTCCATTGAGTGCCACATCATCCTAGATGATTTTTTAAATTTCATACATCAAGCTTTATTCTTTGTTTTGTAAAATTATGTGGGTTAGACAAATGAAGTGTCATGTATCCACCATTAATATGGCTTACAGAATAGTTTCAGTGCTCTAAATTTTCTCTCTTCATCACTGAATCCCTGAATAAACAATGATGTATTATCCTCAGAATTTTGCCTTTTCCATAAGTTATATAAAGGCATACCTTATCTTATTGTACTTCACTTTATTGTTCTTTGAATATATCACATTTTTTACAAATTAAAGGTTTGTGGCAACCCTGCATTGAATGAGTCTATAGGCACAATTTTACCAAAAGCATTTTCTCACTTAATGTCTTTATGTGCATTTTGAGAATTCTCACAATTATTTGGACTTTTTCATTATTATTATTGTTATGTTATTGAGACAGAGTCTCACTCTGTCGCCCAGGCTGGAGTGCATTGGCACAATCTCAGCTCACTGCAACCTCTGCCTCCCTGGTTCAAGCGATTCTCCTGTCTCAGCCTCTTGAGCAGCCGGGACTACAGGCACCACCACCACGCCCAGCTAATTTTTGTATTTTTAGTAGAGGTGGAGTTTCATCTTACTGGTCAGGCTGGTCTCAAACTCCTGACCTCAGGTAATCCATCCACCTCAGCCTCCCAAAGTGCTGGGATTACAGGCATGAGCCACCATGCCCGGACTCATTAATATTATATCTATTATTGTGATCTGTGATCAGTGCTTTTAAATGTCACTATTACGATCGGCTTTGGGCACCAAGAACTGCACCCATATGATATGGCCAAACTCAATTGATAAATGTTGTATGTGTTCCAACTGCTTCATCAATTTCTGATATCTCGTCTTCTCCTCAGTCTCCTTATTTGCTGAGACACAATATTTAAATTAGACCAATTAAGAAATGAAAATGGCCTCTAACTGTTCAAGTGAAAGAAGAGTCTCACATCTCTCACTTTAAACCAAAACTAGAAATTATTAGGCATAGTGAGGAAGATGTGTTGAAAGCTGAGATAGGCTGAAAGCCAGGCCTCTTCTGCCAAAGAATTATCCAGATTGTAAATGCAAAGGAAAACTTGAAGAGAATTAAAAATATTATTGCAGTGAACACATGCATGGTAAAAAATTGACACAGTCTTCTTGCTGATATGGAGAAAGCTTGAGTGGTCTGGATAAAAGATCAAACCAACCACAAAATTCCCTTAAGCTGAAGCCTAATCTAGCACAAGCCCTAACTCTCTTTGATTCCATGAAGGCTGAGAGAGGTGAAGGGGCTGCAGAAGGAAAGTTTAAAACTAGCAGACGTTGGTTCATGAGGTTTAAGAAAAGAAGGCATCTCCATAAAAGTGCAAGATAAAACAGCAAATGATGATCTAAAAGCTGCAGCAAATTTATCTAGAAGATCTAAGATAATTGATGAGGGTAGCTGCACTAAACAATGGATTTTCAATGTAGACAAAACATCCTTATATTGGAAGACGGTGTCATCTAGGACTTTACATAGCTAGAGAGAAGTCAATGCCTGGTATCAAAATTACTCAAAAGGCTCTTTTGTTAGGGGTTAATGCAGCTGGTGACTTTAAGTTGAAGCCAATGCACATCTACCATTCTAAATATTCTAGGTCCCCTTAAAACTTATGCTAAATCTATGCTCTACAAACGGAACAATAATACCTGCATGACAGCACATCTGTTTACAGAATAGCTTACTGTATATTTTAAGCCCACTGTTGAGACCTGCTGCTCAGAAAAAAAAATACTCTCAAAATATTACTGCTTATTAACAAAGCACCTAATCACCCAAGAGCTCTGATGGAAACATACAAGGAGATGAGTGTTGTTCACATGCCTGCTAATACAACACCCATTGATACAACATCATATAACATCTGTACTCTATGAATGAATAAGTAATTTCTACCTTCAAGTCTTATTATTTAAGAAATATATTTTGCAAGGCTATAGCTACCATAGTGATTCCTCTAGATGGATCTGAGTAAAGTTAATTGAAAACCTTCTGGAAAGAATTTAGCATTTCAGATGCTATTAAGAATAATTGTGATTCATTGGAGGAGGTCAAAATATCAACATAAACAGGAGTTTGAAAGAAGTTGATGCCAGCCCTCATGGATGACTTTGAGATATTTAAGAATTCAGTGGAGGAAGTACCTGCAGGTGTAGTAGAAACAGCAAGATAACTAAATTTGAAATGGAGCCTGAAGATGTGACTAATTGTTGCAATCTCATGATCACCCTTGAATGAATGATGAGTTGTTTCTAATGAATCAGCAAAGAAAGCAGTTTCTTGAGATAGTATCTACTGCCAGTGAAGATGCTGTAGAAATTCCTGAAATGACAACAAAGGAATTAGAATAGTACATAAACTGAGTTGAAAATGTAGCAGCAGGGTTTGAGAAAATTGACTTCAAAACTGAAAGAAGTTCTCCTGTGGGTAAAATGCTATCAAACAGCTGTCCATGCTACAGAGGAATCTTTCATGAAAGAAAGTCAATTGATGAAGTAAATTTCATTGTTGCTTTAAGAAATGGCCATAGCCACTGGAACCTTCAGCAACCACCATCCATGTCAGTAAGCAGCCATCAATATGGAGGTAAGACCCTCCACCAGAAAAACTATTACAACTTGCTGAAGCGTCAGGTGATTGTTAGCATTTTTGGCAATGAGGTAGACCACAGCATAGCGTACACATAAATTTTATATGCATGGGGAAACCATGCATTTGTGTGACTTATTTTATTGTAATATTTATTTTATTGTGGCGATCTGAAACTGAACCCACAATATCTTTGAGGTATGCCTGTAAATGCATGAAAGTATTCTATAAATGTCAATTAGATCAAAGTGTATGATATTGCTAGTCAGGTCACATATAGCCTTACTGTTTTCCTGCCTGCTTGATTTAATCCATCACTGACAGAGGGATGTTGAAGACTTCAACTGTAAGAGGGGATTTATCTATTTCTCCTTTCACAGTTCCATCAGATTTTGCTTCAAGTATTTTGATGCTCTGTTTGTTAGGTTCCTACATATTTAAGATTGTTGGGTGTTCTTACAGAAATTGACCTCTTTGTCATTATGTTAACACTCTCTTTGACCCAGATACTTTCTATGGGGTAAGGCCAGAAATTAAGGGCCAACATTATGTGCTGTCTTAACATCTGGTAAAATCAGAAGGGCCACAAAAAGGCCTAACCACAAGTTCACCTCCCTATTATGCTTCCACAGATAAGGTCCTTACAGCCAAACAACCCTTATCTTGGGGAATAAGCACAGTTCCTGCTTATCCCTGAGCAGCCAGTATTAGTTTCCTGCCAGCTAACAGAATTACTCAAACAAGCTCAACACAACCTCCTATGGGAACTAGGGGACATCCATTATTTTCATACTACAGAGCCTGCATCCAACAGCCTCTGGTTTTTCACTCTGCTTCTGTGTGTAAACCCCACGTTGTCTGGTATGGTGTGCGTGTCCTCCTCCCCCAGGCTGTGAATACATTTGACTAATAAACTGCTGTAATGTTTATCTGTCCAGTGTTGGGTGCCATTCACATAACTCCAGGTTGGTAATCCCCCTCTCACCAACAGGGTGATAGAAGGTAACTAAAACACGTTCTTGTTCTGAAATCAGCTCTGTCTAAATTTAATAACCTGTTCCAGCTTTCTTTGACTAGTGTTAGCATATTATACCTCTCTCCATCCCTTTTTTTTTTAATGTATCTGGGATTTATATGTAAAGTGAAATTTTTATAGACAATAATTAGTTGGGTCTTAAATTTTTAATCCACTATCACAAACTCTTTTAATTAATGTTTAGACCATTCATATTTAATGTTTATATTGATATAATTGAATGAATATCTACCATGTTTATAACTGCTTTATTTTATTTCATTTGTTCTTTATTTTTCTTCCTTGTTGTTCTGTCTTCTGAGATTTTAATTGAGCATTTTATTTTATTTTATTTTATTTCTTTTTTTGAGACAGGGTCTCATTCTGTCGCCCAGGTTGGAGTGCAGTGACATAATCTTGGTTCACTGCAACCTCCACCTCCTAGGTTCAAGCAATTCTCCTGCCTCAGCCTCCTAAATAGCCGGAATTACAGGTATGTGTCACCACACCTGGCTAATTTTTGTATTTTTTGTAGAGACAGGGTATCACCATGTTGGCCAAGCTGGTCTCAAACTCCTGGTCTCAAGTGATCCACCACCTCAGCCTCCCAAAGTGCTAGGATTACAGGTGTGAGCCACTGTGCCTGGCTTAATTGAGCATTTTCTATGATTTTATTTCATCTCATCTCACAGAGTATCAATAATAATTCATCAAAATTATTTTATTGGTTTCCCTCATTTATGATATACATTTTTTACTAATATAAGTCATTTTCAAATATTACTAAATCATTATAATGAGAAAACCCAATTTCTTAGAGCAATTTACTGTAAGCATATATGAAATATTTATAAAAATGAATCATATATTAGGCCACATATTTAATACTATTAATTCTCAAACCCAAATGTTCTGTAATTTTAAATTACTAATGAAAGTTGAAACAAAAATGATTCAGGAATTTGAAACACTCTTAAAAACTATTGGGTAAAATGTATAATCAAAAGCATAACATATTTAGAAGATGAAATCTACCACACAACTAATCAGCATATTACATGTATAGCCAAGCAAGTGTTGAGACCCAAAGTAATTTTAAGCACTTGGCATGATTTCATTATTCAATGAAATATTTAATTCAAATGTATTTTCTCAAAATCTAAGAAATGCAATTTATTTATATAATCAATATACATTGACATCTACTAGGTGAAGACTTATTGTAGACACTGGGGATATGGTGCTGCAAAAATAGCCCACACATACTAAAATTAAAAGTGGAAATTATTCATGAATAGATAAAAAGCACTGATAAAAGTCTTGACATAAATGCATATCAAAGAATTGATAAATGCAAAAGCTAATTGCAAAATATATAAATATTAAATTTTTGCAAAATATGATAGTTAAAAACTTATATGCAAATATAATTGGAAAAATAAGATATAGCTCTAAGTTATCCAATTAAATAAGATGAACTAATACTCTATATACTTGAAATTTTTAATGAAATTTATTCTCACAAAACAGTAGCCAAATTAATAATACCCAAAATTTGTTCACGAAAAAGCCAACAAGTAGGCAATAAATCAAACATTAACCAGATATTTCTTTAACTTTTAAGTATAGGAATATATGTGCAGGTTTGTTACACAGGTAAACTTGTGTCTTGAGGGTTTGTTGTACAGATTAGTTTATCTCTCAGGTATTAAGCCTAGTACCCATTAATTATTTTTCCTGATCCTCTCCCTGTTTCACCTTCCACCTTCCAATAGGCCCCAGTGTGTGTTGTTCCCCAATTATGTATTCATGTGTTCTTACCATTTAGCTCCCACTTGTAAGTGAAAACATGTGGTATTTAGTTTTCTGTTCCTATGTTAGTTTTCTAAAGATAATAGCTTACAGCTCCATCCATGTCCCTGCAAAGGACATGATCTCATTCTTTTTTACGGATACCTTGTATTCCATGGTATATATATGTATCACATTTTATTTATCCAGCCTAAATGATGGGCATGTAGGTTGATTCCATGTCTTTGCTATTGTGAGTAGTGTTGCCATGAACATACATGTGCATGTGTCTTTGTAATAGAATGATTTATATTCCTTTGGGTATATATCCAGTAGTAGGATTTCTGGGTCGAATGGTATTTCAGTCTTTAGGCCTTGAGGAATCGCCACACTGTCTTTCACAATGGTTGAACTAATTTACACTCCCACAACAGTGTGTAAGCATTTCTTTTTCTCCACAATCTTGCCAGAATCTGTTATGTTTTGACTTTTTAGTAACAGACATTCTGAATGGTGTGAGATGGTATCTCACTGTGGTTTTGATTTGTATTTCTCTAATGATCAGTGATGAGCTTTTTTTCATATGATTGTTGGTCACATTATTTCTTACTTTGAAAAGTGTCTTTTCATGTCCTTTGCCCACTTTTTATGGGGTTTTTTCTTGTAAATTTGTATAAGTTCCCTATAGATGCTGAATATTTGACTTTTGTCAGATGCATAGTTTGCAAAAATTTTCTCACATTCTGTAGGTTGTATGTTTACTCTGTTGATAGTTCTTTTGCTGTGCAAAAGCTCTTCATTTTAATTAGATACCATTTGTCAATGTTTGCTTTTGTTGCAATTGCTTTTTGCTTCTTCATCATGAAATCTTTGCCCATGCCATGTCCTGAATGGCATTGCCTAGGTTGTCTTCCAAGGTTTTCTTAGTTTGGGTTTTACATTTAAGTCTTTAATCCATTGTATTACTGTGTTCTCACACTGTGTATTAGTCTGTTTTCATGCTGCTTATAAGGACATACCTGATACTGAGTAATTTATAAATACAAAGAGGTTTAATGGACTCACAGCTCCATATGGCTGGGGAAGCCTCACAATCATGGTAGAAGGCAAAAGGCACATCTTACATGGTGGCAGACAAGAGAGAGTTTGTGCAGAGAAACTCCCTTTTATAAAACCATCAGATCTTATGAGACTTATTCACTATCACAAGAACAGCACAGGAAAGTTCTGCCCCCATGATTCAATTACCTCCCACTGGGTCCCTCCCATGAACATGGGAATTGTGGGAGCTATAATTTAAGATGAGATTTGAGTGGAGACACAGCCAAATCATATCACACTGCTCTAAATAACTACCTGACACTGGGTAATTTATGAAGAAAAAAGGTTTAATTTACTCAACGTTCTGCAGGCTTTACAGGAAGTATGACTGGGACGCCTCAGAAAACTTACAATCATGGTGGAAGGCGACAGAGGAGCAAGCATATCTTACTATGGTGGAGCAGGAAAGAGAGAAAAGGGGGAGATTCTATACATTTTTAAATGATTAAATCTTGTGAGAACTCACTCAGCATCACAAGAACAGCAAGGGGAAAATCCACCTCCATGATTCAATCACCTCCTACCAGGCCCCTCCTCCAACGTGCCATAAGATTTGGGTGGGGACACAAATTCAAACCATATCATTCTGCCCCTGGCCTCTCCAAAATCTCATGTCCTTTTCCATTTCAAAACCAGTCATGCCTTCCCAACAGTCACCAAGGTCTTAACTCATTCCAGCATTAACTCAAAAATTCCCAAGTCTCATCTGAGACAAAACAAGCCCTTCCACCTATGAGCTGGTAAAATAAAAAACAAGGTAGTTATTTCCAAGATACAATGGGGGTGTAAAAGGAAAATATCTTGAGCACCCCAAATCACTAAGCTAAAAGTAAAATTCAAACTGGAAATTCCTCGGGGCAAACCTGCCTCCTATTCTATTCAAAGTCATCCCCTGCTCACTATGATAGATGCATATTCTAATTGCCTCCATTGGAAAGCCTTATCAGAAACTCAAAATAATGCAACCATTTGTCTCTCACCTATCTGTGACCTGTGACCTGGAAACCCCCTCCCTGCTTCGAGTTGTCCCCGTCTTTCTGGACAGAACCAATGTACTTCTTACATATAGATGAGATTGATGTCTCATGTCTCCCTAAAATGTCTACAACCAAGCTGTGCCCCAACCACCTTGCACATGTTGTCAGGACTTCCTGATGCTGTGTCATGGATGCGTGTCCTCAATCTTGGTAAAATATACTTTCTAAATTAACTGAGATCTGTCTCAGATTTTGAGTTTACAAGGGTTCAGGCATTGCATGCTTGCATTCCAAATGGGAGAAATTGGCCAAAACAAAGGGGCTACAGGCCCCTTGCAGATCTGAAACCCATCAGGGCAGCCATTAAGTCTTAAAGCTCCAAAATCTACTCTGACTTCCTGTGTCACATCCAGTCAACAGTGATGCAAGGTGCATGCTCCCAAGGCCTTGGGCAGCTCTAACCCTGTGGCTTTGCAGGGTACACCACCATTGGCTGCTTTCAGGAGCTGGTATTGAATGTCTGCAGTTTTTCCAGACACACAGTGTAAGCAGTCAATGGATACAGCATTCTGGAGTCTGGGGGATGGTGGCCCTCTTCTCATAGCTCCACTAGGCCGTGCCCCAGTGGGGACTCTCTGTGGGGGTTCCAACCAACCCTACATTTCCCCTCTGAACTGCCCTAGTAGAGGTTCTCCATGAAAGTTCCATCCCTGCAGCAGTCTTCTGCCTAGACTTCCAGCCATTTCCATATATCCTCTAAAATCTAGGCAGAAGCTCCCAAACCTCAGCTCTTGCCTTCTGTGCACCTGCAGGCCCAACACCACATGGAAATTTCCATTTCCATATATCCTCTGATATCTAGGCAGAGGCTCCCAAACCTCAGCTTCTTGCCTTCTGTGGACCCGCAGGCCCAACACCACTTGGAAGCTTCCAAGGTAGGGCTTGCACCCTCTGAAACAATGGCCTGATCTGTAACTTGGTCCCTTTTAGACCTGTCTGGAGCTGGAGCAGCCGGGGTGCAAGGTGCCATGTACCAAGGCTGCACAGAGCAGTGGGGCTCTGAGTCCAGCCCAGGAAACCATTTTTCCCTCCTATGCCTCCAGGCCTGCGATGGGAGGTGCTGCTATGAAGATCCCTGAAGTGTCTTGCAGATTTTTTTCCCCATTGTCTTTGCTATTAATATTTGGGTCCTCTTTGCTTATGTAAATTTCAGCAGCTGGCTTGAATTTATCCTCCGGAAATGGGTTTTCTTTTCTACCTCATGGTCAGGCTACAAATTCTCCTAACATTTATGCTCTGCCTCCCTTTTAAATATAAGTTCTAATTTCAGACCATCTCTTTCTTCACACATGAGTGTACACTTTTACAAACATCCAGGTCAAATCTTGAGTGCTTTTCTGCTTAGAAATTTCTTCTGCCAGATACCTTAAACCATCTCTCTGAAGTTCAAATTTCCACAGATCTCTAGGGCCATCAGAGATCTGGTGGGAACTGGAGTAAAGGTCACTTGTGCTATGCTTTAGCAACTGCCACCACTCTCTTTGCAAAAGCGTAGCACAAGTGACCTTTACCGTAGTTCCCAATAAGTTTCTCCTCTCCATCTGAGATCACCTCAACTTGGACTTCACTGTCCAAATCACTTTGAACATTTTGGTCAAAACCATTCAACAAGTCTCTAGGAAGTTCCAAACTTTCCCACATCTTCCTCTTTTTCAGAGCCTTTCAAAATGTTCCAACCTCTGCCCATAACTCAGTTCCAAAGTCATTTCCACATTTTCAGGTATCTTTATAGCAGTGCCCCATTCTCAGGACCAATTTTCTATATTGGTTTGTTCTTACACTGCTATAAACAACTACCTTGAGACTGGGTAATTTATAAAGAAAAGAGGTTTTATTGACTCGCAGTTTTGCAGGCTTAACAAGAAGTATGACTGGGAGACCTCAGGAATCTTACAATCATGGCAGAAGGTGAGGGGCCAGCAAGCATGTCTTACCATGGCAGAGGAGAGGAAGAGCAGAGTGGGAGATGTCACACACTTTTAAACCATCAGATCTCATGAGAATTCACTATCATGAGAACGGCAAGGGGGAAATCTGTCCCCATGATCTAATCACCTCCCACCAGGCCCTTCTTCCAATTTGACATGAGATTTGGGTGGGAGTACAAATCCAAACCACATTATCCATCTTAATTTTTGTATATGGTGTAAGGAAGGAGTCCATTTCTGCATATAGCTAGTCAGTTATCCCAGCACCATTTATTGAATAGGGACCCTTTCCCCACTGCTTCTTTTTGTCAGGTTTGTCAAAGATCAGATAGTTGTAGGTGTGTGGTCTAATTTCTGGGTTCTATAGAGTGTTCCACTGGTCTATCTGTCTGTTTTTGTACCAGTACCACACTATTTTGGTTTCTGTAACCTGACTTCAAACTATACTACAGGGCAACATTATGCCTCTGGCTTTGTTCTTTTTGTCTAGGATGAACTTGGCTATTTGGGCTCTTTTTGTTAACTAGATATTGCTATTTTAAAAAATAAAAGTTTTGAAAACTCTGAAGTAGTTTTTTTTTTTTGAGACAGTCTTACTCTGTCACCCTGTGTGGAGTACAGTGATGTGATGATGGCTCACTGAAGCCTCTGACCTCCCGAGCTCATGTGATTCTCCTGCCTCAGTCTCCTGAATAACTGGAACTACAGATGTGTGCCACCATGCCCAGCTAATTTTTAAATTATTTTTTTGTAGAGACAAGGTCTTGCTATGTTGTTCAGGCTGATCTTGAACTTCTGGCCTCAAGCCATCCTTCTGCATTAGCCTCCCAAAGTGCTGGGATTATAGGCATGAGCCACTGCACTCTCCTAAAGTAGTAGTATTTTCATTATTTGTCATAGAAAGAAAAAAAGGAGATAGATGAGAAGCAGAGATGTCATTAGAATAAACCTGATATCCCGAGCATAATTCTACTTATTCCACTGCATAGGATTTAAGAAGAAAACTTTAATAACATAAATAAGAACTGTGTACTTTAAACCAAAACTAACATTATACTCAGTAACAAAACAATAGAAACATTCTCATTAACATTAGGAACTTGCTATTATCATATTTTAAATGGCTCTGAAATCCTGTGGCAGTTCAGTAAAACAAGAAGAAGAAATAAAATGTATGGATCTCAAAAAGCATAAACTATTTCCATTATTTATATAAAACATGTATATGTATTTAGAACATTAATTATATATATCTAGAAATCCCAAGGAAATCAAGTGAAAAAATATTTTAGCATTAATAAAGCACTCCTGTATATATGATGCAAATGAGCTATTAATAATTTCCCTTTATAATCCTAACAAAGTACAAAATATTGTGGAAAAACATTCCAGTCAACATATCAATATAAACTATAAAATACCCACAAATAATCTTTGAAAAAATGTGTGGGGCCTATCTATTCTTAAATAACATGAGATAGCATATCACAATCCTACACATGCAGATTATTTTGATCATTCAATTTTTCCTATATTAATTCATAGAATTAATAATCTCCAGTCCAAAATGTATTTGAAATTTAACAAGGTGATCCTAAATTTCATTTGGAGGAAATCAAGACTGATGTTAAAAAGAAAATGTGAAAAGACGATTAAAAATGAGATGGTCATGGACATTCTAGATATAAAAATACACTATGAATAATTGATAAAATATTGTCTTTGTCCTGGGATTGAACTATAACTTCTTCCTCCCTCCCCACAAAATACAACATTTCCACATATTTAGCAGCATAAATATTAAACGAAAGAGAAAACAAAAATCTAAGCAAGAAAGAAAAATTGTTTATTATATGGTGATAGCAATATAAAGTTATTATTTAAGGAAAAGAATATATTGCTTCATGTCATGCTCCAAATTATATCCTAGATTGTCATTAAATTCAAACTTCACAAAAAATTAAAATACATTATAGTTGAATATCTAATATAAGAGTGTAAATAGACTTTCTAAGCATAAAGGTATGAAAGAAAGCACAAGGAAAAATTCAATAGATGTGGTTATATAATATTTTTAATCTTTTTTACCTCTTCAAGTAAGAAACTTTGAAACATCATTTGCCCAAATATGGTAGACAAAGTTTACTGTTCTTATTATGTGAAGAGCTCATACAAATGATACTCAACCACAAAATCCCCAAAAGAATAAGTGGCAATAGGCATGAAAAGAAAATTTATAGAAGTAACTTAAATGTTTGATAAATATTAAATATTTTGGTCTCAATAATAAAAGAGAAGCAAATTGATATGATAAACTACGATATTTTACTTATCAAAATTAACAAAGCTTTACTTAAGTACTATTATTTAATATCAGAAAGCCTAATGTAGCATTTGTCCTCTTATACACTGATAGAAGGTTTTTATTGCCAGATATTTTGGGGGGAAATGACTGGATAGCATTCATTTATATATTTATGTGCTGAGAACTAGTACTTGCATTTCTAATCCACTAAGTAAATTATACATTCAGACACAATTGTATGCTATTTACAGTAGCTCTTTTACCACATTTTGCTGCATAACAAATTACCACAAATTTAGCAGCTTTGTAACACCTGTTTAATAGCTCACAGTTCTGTAGGTCAGAGTCCTGGCATGATGTGCCCGGATCCTCTGCCCAAGGTTGAAATCAAGGTGTTCTCAAGGCTGCACGCTTTTCTGGAAGCCCTGTGAACAAATCCACTTCCAAGCTCAGTCATGTTGCTGGTACAATGCAATTCCTTGCAGTTAGAGAGCAGTCCCTTTACCTTGCTGGCTGCCCCCAGAACCAGGCAGCTTCTAGAGGCCCTGTCCATCTTCGAAGCTTGCATGAGTGCACAGAAACCTTCATGGGCTTTTAATCTCTGTGATTTCCCCTTCTGCCACCAGCCAAAGTAAACTCTACACCTAAAGGGGCTCATGTGATTAGAATAGGCCCACCTGGACAATCTTATCTTAAAGTCAGCTGTGCCATATACATAACAAATTCCTGCAAATGGTATCACATCATCTTCACAGGTTCCAACAATTTTGGTCAAGGAGACTTGGGGGGCCACTTAGAGTTCTGCTTGACATAGACATAGTGCATTATTTTTATTAGTAAAATTTAGGAAACAAGTTGGTTCATAACACTGGAATACTCAAACCATGATCTATCTATATTTTAGAATATTAGAAAGCCATAAAAGCTGATGCCTTCAAACAATAATTATTACCTGGAGAATGTACTCAAAATATAATGTTAAATTGAAAAGAAGAAACAAACTTCCTAAAATACATAAAATTAAGATGCTACAATCAAATATATATATGTGTATATATATATGTGTGTGTGTGTGTATATATAGAGAGAGACTTATTGGCTATTTTTAGAATCTAATAAAAGTTATACATCTTTTCCCAAAGAAAACATAGGTATACACAGAAGATTGAATATAAAGTAGATTGTCCACAGGGTCCCTAGAGATTCCAGGTTAAGAACCCATAACTAATTATATGTGTCTCTAAAGGTAATATTAAAGGCAATACAGTCTCTTATGTTCACTTTAATAATCAGGTATTGTAGACAGCACCCCACTCTGTGTTCCTGCAGGCAGTCTTTTATCTTATTCTTATCACTCAGTATTTCTGGAAATCACCAGGGAAGGCTTCCAAGTCTACTTTCATTGTCCTTTGCTACCTCTTGCTCTAGACTTCTGATCTAAGCTTCTTGGTACCTGGTAACCATTTTTTGGGTGCACAATTAAAGCTGCCTTCAAATGTAATGAGCCACAGATGCAAACACAGCCTCCTTCTTGCATTCCTTGAAAGCTCAGTTAACCTAGGCCATAGAGTCTGACTAAATTGTATAAAAGACTAGATAATGTAAATATGCTACAAAGCAAAACACAAAACTCTGAGGTTGTCAGATGCCTCTCTTCCTCAAGCTATTGGCCATGTACCTATTCAGGGCATCCCAGACATAACATCTCACAGGTCTTCTTGCTCCTGAACTTGGCCTGCAAACATGTCCAAGGGGTCCTCTTATTTCTCAGAAAGGAGTCTCTTTAGTCCTGTCTTCGTTCTTCTAGTGCTATAGGAGTTAAGAAGAAATCACTTAGGCAGATAGTAGGGGTATGGGAGTCCTTGGTAAGGCTTTTCTTTTTAATGAAAAGCAGCCCCAAATCATTTTCTAACAAAGAGTAGCCTGTAAAGTCGAGCTGCAGACATAAGCAAGCTGGAAGCTTGCACAGTGAATGCCGGCAGGAACTAGGGACTAGGCATGTTCAAGATGGGGGCTCCATCTTCCCTTCTCTGCCCTCCACGTGTGTAGTAAGGAGCAGACAAGATGGCCCTAGCCAAGGGTAGAATTTGTTTGCATAAGATTAGGGTTGGGGGACCATCCTTCCCCAAATGCTACCTAAACAACACACCTGATGGAACCAATCTGTGAGCCCTATGTAAATCAGACACCACCTCCTCAAGCCGGACTACAAAATCCGGTGCATCCACTGCCGGCTGGTCTTTCCACTTGGAAATCCCCTCTCTCAACAGAGAGCTGTTGTTCTTTCTCTTCTTCTGCCTATTAAACCTCCACTCCTAAGCTCCTCATGTGTGTCCGTGTCCTAAATTTTCCTGGCACCAGATGACTAACCCTAGGTACATACCCCAGACAACATAGCCACTTCACTAGGAACTAGCATACTACTTGGCCCTCCCTAGAAGCATTCCTCTTCTCTTCCAATTCAAGATTCATTTCCTTTTCTCTTGTCCCACGTCCTGAACAACATGGCACACTATTTAACTTTTTAAAAGAATATAGCCAGGATGAGACAGGGAGTCAACAGTGAACTTTCCAAACTCTTGGCTATTCAGTTGGTTAGATGTGCCATTCAGGGGACGCTGTCCAGTGGTTGTAGCTCTATACCCAAGCTGGTTGTTGTCCTGTTGGTAGTCTCTAACCTTGTCAAGGTAAGGGGAATATAGGTTGTTCTGTCTTTCCTGATAGGCCAGGCTTACAACATGCTTTGAGCACACCCTTCCTAAAAACAAGCAGTATTTCTTAGACAGTCACTATTAATCACATTTAGAAAAAATTTCTACAAATAATCTGCTAAAATATATTAATCCAACATGTAATACTAAGCAAATAACAGCACAGTCTCAAGCCTTTCATTTGGACTATTTAACTTGCTTACAACATTCACTGGAAAAAGGGAGGCCTAATTAAGGAAAACCTGAATTATACAGTCCTGACTAAAAGTACCCCACAGAAATGTTTCTTTCAGAGCAAAGACAGGGCCTAACCCAAACTTTAGTTTCCACTATACAGAACAAAACATGTGTGAGAAATCAATACTTCATCATTAGCAACAGTAAAAACATACTGACAACTTCAAAGTAGTAGTTTATCTTTGTTCCACAAACATACTCATTTAAAGGAATATACTAAAAGAAAATACACAGGAAAATACAGGTATCATTTTCTGGCTTTTAAGTTTACTCATACATATTTTTAATATTACTTATAAATATATTCATGTAAGAATATACTGGTTAAAATCAATACAGACACTGAGTCTGGCTTAATTATTATGTAAATACAATATTTCCAGTGATAACCATACTTTCTAGGATAAATTATACTTTCACTGTATTTAAACTGAAAAAACACTAATTCTTCCAATGTAAACAAGCACTATTTCAGAATAAAAGAGCAGTCACAAATCTGAGATTGTTTACTTCAAAATGAAAATACCTAAAGATTAGTCAACTACTTGTGATAAGAAACAAGAGTGGCCAAAACGATTTATGCAAACCTAGTACTAATAATTTATCAGCTACATTTTGACATTGTGAATACAATTGCTCTGTGCATCAACTAATGTGACAAGAGGAAGATGTGAATGTTTTCTTAATTCAGAAACATATTCTGATGAAGAAATTATTTAAATACAAGTTTTAAATAAACTATTAAAATAACAGGAACATGAATAGGTTCACCTAGCTGAGCAACAGAAAATGCAATCCGGAATGAGCAACTTACTGTTTATATGCTTACTCTTGATGATGAGCATTCCATATTCTAGGTTATATTTAACATATAAGGCAGTTTCTCAGGATGATAAGGAGAAGGACTTCATTTTAAACCAGCTAACTACCTCACAAGGGAAACCACTGTAGAGCCAATGTAAAATAGTGTCATTCTTTAAATCATGAAGTCATGATTTTTGAGTCAAGGATACAAGAGAGAGCACTCAACAAGGCTGTATCTCTCAGGAAGTCCTATATTTTAGAAAAAATATGAGAATAGAGTTTTAGATTCTTTTGTAGTTTATCATCTTAATTTTTATTTATATCCCCAAGGGGCCAATTACTAAATAAAATCTGTTGTTCAGGAGTTTGCCCTGAAGTAGTTAAGGAGCTGAGCAGGGAGAATATTAACAGCTCCATCCTCAGGGTACAAATAGTAGCATGTAAATCTGAGGATAGATTGGTTTTATGAGGTGAAGCAAGGGAACAATCCATTGGAAGAGCACTTTACACCAACTTTCAAGAATACAGTTGAAGAATAAGCCCTTGAATTTATGTGACTCCAGCTCTCTAGTTTCAATGAACCTGTTTCCATTTCTATAAGTTTAATCACACTGTGATATTTTACTGTTAACAGATTTGTTCAAGCAAAAATAACATCGCTTGGTTAACTACAGACATAGCACTCACTGGTAACCATTCTTCTGGTTTGAACTTATTATTTCAATGAACACCTAGTAACCCTAGTAATAGATCATTTTTTAAAAAAAAACACTTGGCTTTAGTGCATAAACAATATTTTTTAAATAGTGCTTAATTTTTTAATAGACAATGTGCTCATATGATTCAAGAATCAAAACACAGAATGAGTATTTGGTATACAGTCTTTCTCCACTTTGTCCCCAACCACCTATTTCCCCTTTCTGGAAACAAACAATGTTATCAGTGGTATCCTTTCACAAACATTTTAGCAAGTGCCTATCTGTATATATTTTTATATACTCCCTCTTTCTACCTTTTTCGGACAAATGGTAGAAGACTGTAAATGTTTCACATTTTGTACATGTGTGTTTAATTAACAATACAACTTGAAACATATTTCATATCAACACACAAAAGGCGTCCTCATTCTTAAGAGATGCTTAATAATCTATTGGATGCATAGACAATAGTTTAACCAGTACTCTATTGTCAGACCAGTGGTTTGCAATATTTTGCTATGTCAAATACTACCGTAATATATAACCTTGCATTTTCATCATCTTGCATGCTTATAAACAAATTTGTAGAACAAATTATGGTCTTCTGGAGCATTTTTAAGCTTTCATCAAAGATTGTATATGATTCTTGGTTCTTGGGTATTAAAGATTGTACTCCTAGGCATTTTCGCTTTCTACTGCTACACTTTTGTTATATCTTCTAATGCTTGTATTTTTGAGTTCTATTCATCTCTGTATTTCAATTGTGTATCCATTTATCTTTCTGAATTTTCTTATTGTTTGTCATATAGTTTTTAGGTTGACTCTTTTGGGTTTTTATAGATATGTATCATATTATCTGTAAAACAATAGTAATTTCATCTCCCTCTTTCCAATATTTATACTTCATTTCAATAGTTTGGGGGGTAAAAGTGGTTTTTGATTACATGGATAAGTTCTTTCGTGATGATTTCTGTGATTTTGGTGCACCCATCACCCAAGAAGTATACACTGTATCCAGTATGTACTCTTTTATTCCTCACCCACCTCCTTGGAGGGTGGAGTCCTTCCCTGCAAGTCTCCAAAGTCTATTTTATCATTCTTATGCCTTTTCATCCTCATAGATTAGCTCCCACTTATAAGAACATACGATATTTGGTTTTCCATTCCTGAGTTAACTCACGCAGAATAATGGCTTCTAGCTCCATCCAAGTGGCTGCAAAAGACATAATTTTATTACTTTTTATGGCTAAGTAGTATTCCATGGTGTATATATACCCCATTTTCTTTATCCACTTGTTGGTTGATGGGCATTTAGGTTGGTTCCATGTGTTTGCAATTATGAATTGTGCTGTTATAAACATGTGAGTGCATGTATCTTTTTCATATAATGACTTTTGTTTTCCTTCAGGTAGGTACCCAGTAGTGGGATTGCTGAATCAAATGGTAGTTCTACTTTTAGTTCTTTAAGGAATCTCCATAGTAAAAACCACTATTTTCATAGTAGTTTTACTAATTTACAGTCCCACCAGCAGTGTAAAAGCGTTCCCTTTTCACCACATCCACACCAACATCTATTATTTCTTGACTTTTTAATTATGGTCATTCTTGCAGGAGTAAGATGGCATCGCATTGTGTTTTTCATTTGCATTTCTCTGATAATTAGTGACGTTGAGCATTTTTTCCTGTTTGTTGGCTGTTTGTATATCCTTTTTTGAGAATTGCCTATCCATGTCCTTTACCCACTTTTTGATGGGATTTTTGTTGTTGTTGCTGATTTGAGTTCCTTGTATCTTCTGGATATTAGTCCTTTGTAAGATACGTAATTTGTGAATATTTTCTCTCACGCTGTTGGCTACTTATTTTGCTGTGCAGAAGTCTTCTAGTTTAATTAAGTCCCACCTATTTTATCTTTGTTCTTGTTACATATACTTTTGGGGTCTTAGTCATGAATTCTTTGCCTAGAGCAAATATCTAGAAGAGTTTTCCAATGTTGTCTTCTAGAATTTTTATTATTTCAAGACTTAAGTCTTTGCTCCATCTTGAGTTTATTTTTGTATAAGGTGAGAGATGAGAATCCAGTTTCATTTTTCCACATGTGGCTATTCAGTTTTTCCAGCACCATTTGTTGAATAGGTTGTCCTTTCCCTAATTTATGCTTTTTGTATGCTTCATCAAAGATCAGTTGGCTGTAAGTATTTGGTTTTATTTCTGGGTTCTCTATTCTTTTTTATTGGTCTATTTGCCTATTTTTATACAAATACTATGCTGTTTTGGTAACTATAGCCTTGCAATATAATTTGAAGTCAAGTAATGTGATCCCTCCAGATTTGTTCTTTTTGCCCAGTATTGCTTTGGATATGTGAGCTCTTTTTTTGGTTCCATATTAATTTTGGGATTTTTTTTCTCTAGTTCTGTGGAGAAAAAAGATGGCATTTTGATGGAAATTGCATTGAATCTGTAGATTGCTTTAGACCATATGATCATTTTCACAATATTGATTCTACCCATCCATGAGTATGGGATGTGTTTCCATTTGTGTTATCTATGATTGTATTAGTTTGTTTTCATGCTGCTCATGAAGACATACCCAAAACTGACAACAAAAAGAGGTATAATTGGACTTAACAGTTTCACATGGGTGGGGAGTCATCAGAATCACGGCGGGAAGTGAAAGGCACTTCTTACATAGTTGTAGCAAGAGAAAATGAGGAGACGCAAAAGCAGAAACCCCTGATAAACACATCAGATCTTGTAAGACTTATTCACTATCAGGAGAATAGCATGGGAAAGACTGGCCCCCATGATTCAATTACCTCCCCCTGGGTCCCTCCCACAACATGTAGGAATTCTGGGAGATACAATTCAAGTTGAGATTTTGCTGGGGACACAGCCAAATCCACCCTGGCCCCATCCCAAATCTCATGTCCTCACATTTCAAAACAAGTTATGCCTTCCCAACAGTCCCGCAAAGTCTTAACTCATTTCAGCATTAACCCAAAAGTCTAAATCCAAAGTCCCATCTGAAGCAAGGCAAGTCTCTTCTGCCTATGAGCCTGTGAAATCAAAAACAAGTTAGTTACTTCCTAGATACAATGGGAGAATAGGCATTTGGTAAATACAGCCATTCCAAATGGGAGAAATTGGCCAAAACTAAGGGGCTATAGGCCCCATGCAAGTCCAAAATCCAGCAGGGCAGTCAAATCTTAACGTTCCAAAATGATCTCCTTTGACTCCATGTCTCACATCCAGGTCAGGCTGATGCAAAAGGTGAGTTCCCATGGTCTTGGGCAGCTCCAACCCTGTGGCTTTGCAAGGTACAGCCTCCCTCCCGGCTGCTTTCTCAGGCTGGCATTGAGTGTTCTGGCTTTTCCAAGTGCAGGGGGACAAGCTGTTGGTGGATCTACCGTTCTGAGGTCTAGAGGACGGTGGCCTTCTTCTCACAGCTCCACTAGGCAGTGGCCCAGTAGGGACTCTGTGTTGGGGCTCCAAACCCACATTTCCCTTCCACACTGCCCTATCAGAGGTTCTCCATGAGGGCTCTGCCCCTGCAGCAAACTTTTTTCTGGACATCTGGAATTTCCATACATCTTCTGAAATCTAGGTGGAGTTTTCCAAACCTCAGTTCTTGACTTCTGTGCACCTGCAGGCTTAACACCACATGGAAGCTGCCAAGGCTTGGGGCTTCCACCCTCTGAAGCCGAAGTCCAAGCTGTTTGTTGGACCCTTTCAGCCATGGCTGGAGCTGCTGGGACACAGGGCATCAAGTCCCTAGGCTGCACACAGCACGGGGACCCTGGGCCCAGCCCACAAAACCACGTTTTCCTCCTAGGCCTCCAGGCCTGTGATGAGAGGGGCTGCCATGAAGATCTCCGATATGCCCTGGAAATATTATCCCCATGGTCACGGGGATTAACATTTGGATCCTTGCTACTTATGTAAATTTCTATAGCTGTCTTGAATTTCTCCCCAGAAAATGGGTTTTTCTTTTCTATCATATAGCCTGCAAATTTTCCAGATTTTTATGCTCTGCTTCCCTTATAAAATTGAGTGCCTTTAACAGCACCTAAGTCACTTCTTGAATGCTTTGCTGCTTAGAAGTTTCTTCCACCAGATACCCTAAATCTTCTCTCTCAAGTTCAAAGTTCCACGAATCTCTAGGGCAGGGGCAAAATGCTGCCAGTCTCTTTGCTAAAACACAACAAGAGTCACCTTTCCTCCAGTTTCCAACAAGTTCTTCATCTCCATCTGAGACCACCTCAGCCTGGATTTCATTGTCCATATCACTGTCAGCATTTTGGGCAAAGCCATTCAACAAGTCTCTAGGAAGTTCCAAACTTTTCCACATTTTTCTGTCTTCTTCTAAGCTCTCTGAACTGTTCCAACCTCTGCCTGTTACCCAGTTCCAAAGTCACTTCCACACTTCTGGGTACCTTTTCAGCAATGCTCCACTCTACTGATACCAATTTACTGTATTAGTTTGTTTTCACACTGCTGATAAAGACATACCTGAAACTGGTAACAAAAAGAGGTTTAATTAGACTTACTGTTCCACATGGCTGTGGAGGCTTCAGAATCATGGCGGGAGGTGAAAGGCACTTCTTACATGGTGGCAGCAAGAGAAAATGAGGAGAAGCAAAAGCAGAAACCACCAATAAGCCCATCAGATTTCATGAGACTTATTATTCACTATCACAAGAATAGCACAGGAAAGACCAGCCCCCATGATTCAATTACTTCCCCCTGCATCCCTCCCACAACATGTGGGAATTCTGGGAGATACAATTCAAGTTGCAATTTGGGTGGGGACAAAACCAAACCATATCAATGATCTTTCAGTAGGGTTTTGGAGTTCTTCTTGTAGAGATTTTTGCCTCCTTGGTTAAGTATATTCCTGAGTTTTATATTTTTTCTTCAGCTGTTGTAAAAGGGGTTGAGTCTTGATTTGATCCTCTGCTTGTTTGTTGTTGGTGTATAGTGGTGCTACTGATTTATGTACATTGATTTTGTATCCTGAATTAATGAATCATGAACTAATATCCCGGAATATTTATGAAAAGTAAATTAATCATAATTTTTACTATGTTCACATTTTTATAACCAAAATGTATAAAAGATTCTACATATTCTCTTTAAATTTAATTTAAATACTATTCTTATCTACAAGAGCTCTCTTCTTTATGATTTCCCTGCCAGTCAACCTGCGAACTTGGAAACTATCAGGAACATTAAAAAATGATCTAAGGACCCTGATGCCACAAGCAAGAGTCTCATACTTCATTTCATCAGTCAGCTGGTAAATTGCATTAGCAGAGCCAATAGTGGATAGATGACTGCTGTGCTGTTGTTGTTGTTTTTAAGATAAAAGATACTTAACAGTGTTTAAATGTCAATGTTTAGAATTTCTTTTAATAGGTCATAAGTTAAGGAAAGTAAATGGGACCAAAGACCACAGAACAGGTAGAAGGACCAGCTCTGTTTTAATGGGAGGAAGAATATGCACAATGTGATAATACAGCAAAGGAAGTTGGCTAATCATATCTGGATGTTCTGTGTTCTGTGCAAAAGGATATGAGGTTCCTGAGGAGTCTGACTCCTGGTTAAAAACCTATGTGTGATTTTTCAGGCCTGACCATAGGCAATTACAAAGGCTTTACCTGTATGGTACCTGGTGTATCCTCCCTACACCAGACTTGGTGCACAGCCAGTGCACTGTAGTCTCTGAAGGAAGTTAGAGTCAAGGACTCAGGCCTCCCTGGCTAGTCATGTTCTTGGTGTATTTATATTCCTAGTCCTAGAGCTTTCATTCCTAAATCTCTGTTTGAGGCCTTGGACAGAGGTCTTGGAAATATTTTTCTCTACTCTCAGAACCCAGATTTTTCCCTCTCTTAGCCCTTTCCCTTTCCCATCCCTCTGGCCCTCATAAAGCTGCCATAAAACTGGAGCCCTCAACAGTGAGATGACTCCCACATCTGTGCTAATCCACTTGATCCTGAACAGGAGCACCATTCCATGGAGGAAATGGAACAAGGGGAATTTGTGCCTTCTCGTGTTTTAGCCTCTGGCCTGTACCATCATAGAAATCAAAGGCTTAACTTTCATTTTTGGCTTGTTTGAATCAGGTATTCTGACACCTGACACTCAGCTCTCTCTCCCAGCTTAGCTGAGCTCCATACAATCCCTTCTAAAACAGTATTCAGAGCCTTGTTTCTTCATTCCTAGCTATGTGATCTTGAGTACATTGTTTATCTAAACGTCAATTTTATTGCCTATAAAATAAGGATAAATATAGAGATAACAGCTAATGTTTACAGAGTTATAAGAATTACCTAAAATGACGCATATAAATACTTAGTACTGAATAATTTTGAAAACCAAGATGAGTTGTTTATACATTGCTAAACAAAGTTTTAGTTAATTTTGTTTCTTTTTTGAGTAGGTAATATATACATGTGGTTAAAAAATGCAAAGGAAAAAATATATATATTATAAAAGTAATTTTCATTGTTTCCTGGTATTTATTTCCTACTAATAATGCATATTTGGCATAATATTATAATTTTAGGTGTTATGCCTAGGTAAGTAGAACCACTAATTTCCCCAAAATCTAGATAAAATTTTTAATCATATAAATTTAATATACTATGATTAATGTGTCCTATTTTAGCTCTTAGTTCTTTTCTGCATCAATCCTATGTTGCTAGATTTATTATGACTTTATAGTCTAAATATACTTTTTATATATTATACCATGCAGTAAGTTATATTAAGCTCCTTCTGAAAAAAATACCAGCCTTTTCTTTGAAATATGTTAAACTCTTTCCTTTACCTACAGTAGCTCTTATATTCTTAGTTAGGAAAAGCTTTTCTATTTAAGCAGAAAGAATAGTGAAGTTCATCAACCAATATGTTTAAAGAGATTAATTTTAGTTCTCAAGGTGACATAGATCCTTCCTAGCCATATTATCAGCAATGGCTATTTGATATATGTGAATGCTTCTTGATTTCTAAATACTACTCTTTGAAATCAAACAGAGAAATAGATTTCTAATTAAAAAATTTGAAGTTCACTTGTTTGTTTTTTTTGAGACAGAGTCTCACTCTGTTGTCCAGGCTGGAGTGCAATGGCATGATCTGGGTGCACTGCGGCCTCCACCTCTCAGGTTAAAACGATTCTCCTGCCTCAGGCTTCCGAGTAGCTGGGATTACAGGCATACATCTCCACGCCTGATTAATTTTGTTTTTTTTTTTTTTTTGGAGAGGTGGGGTTTCACCATGTTGGCCAGGCTGGTCTCGAACTCCTGACCCCAAGTGATCCACCTGCCTTGGCCTCCAAAAGTGCTAGGATTATTCATTTTTGAATCATTAAGTAAAATTGCTAGGACAAATGGTGCATACATCTAACATTTCTGCCTCTATCTTGAGAGATCAACAAGGAGATCATATACTTGGAGTAAGTCTGTCTCGACTCTGGCCTTCTTGCTGGAGCTTTGTGGAAGTTCTAGAGTCTGCATGCTCTTGGCAAGATACAACTTCTGTTTCTCAACACTCATACTTACTTTTTTCCCTGTTAGTGTCAACCTCCACAAGAAACTCAAGCTGCCTTCTTCAGACCTCATCTCTCACCCTGTTCTTCACATACCCTTCTCAATCTACCATTTCTTCCCAATTCCTAAAGTCTTTCTATTGGATCATCTGGAATTCACAGGTAATCATTAGCAAAACTCCCTAAAATTTTATTTTAATGCTTCAACTTAATTGAAACTTTAACTGCATCACCAATGTTTCTTTCCTCTTCTTGGTCTAATGGAAATATGACATTTCCCTGAGGAAACTGCTTCCTCTAAAGACCATTCAAGTAGTTCTTCCATAGCCTCCCAAACACTAGGAATGACAACAGATTAGAGACTATTTTGATAATTACATCAAATAATTATATCGAATATAATTATATCAAACGTAATTATCTATGGTGATGTAAAATAATGCCCCTGTTTTTAGAAAATATATAGTGAAGTATTCTGGAGAAAAGGGATGCCATGGTCCAATTTACTCTCAGATGTTTCAAAAGTTATATATACATGGAGAGAGAAATAATATAATATATATATGGAGAGAGAAAAAGAATGACATAAAGAAACAAGACAAATGTAAGCAACTTAAGAATCTGGGTAACCAGTGTATAGGTAGTATATAGGTGGTTCTTTCACAAAACTTTTTGTAAAAATTTGAAATTTTTTGTTTTTGTTGTTGATGCTATATCTTTTTTTTTTTATTATACTTTAAGTTTTAGGGTACATGTGCACAATGTGCAGCTTTGTTACATATGTATACATGTGCCATGTTGGTGTGCTGCACCCATTAACTCCTCATTTAACATTAGGTATATCTCCTAATGCTATCCCTCCCCCTCCCTACTCCCCACAACAGGCCCCAGTGTGTGATGTTCCCCTTCCTGTATCCACGTGTTCGCACTGTTCAATTCCCACCTTTGAGTGAGAACACGCAGTGTTTGGTTTTTTGTCCTTGCGATAGCTTGCTGAGAATGATGGTTTCCAGCTTCATCCATGTCCCTACAAAGGACATGAACTCATCATGTTTTATGGCTGCATAGTATTCCATGATGTATATGTGCCACATTTTCTTAATCCAGTCTATCATTGTTGGACATTTGGGTTTGAAATTTTACCCAAAGAAAATGTTTCAGTCAATTCATCAATCAAAGCTGACCCCAAAGTTTTGAGCCTGAATGAGCTAAAGGCCAAAAGAAAATAAGAAAAGATCAGAGGGGAACATAGGATTGAATCGGGAATGTGAATTCTGAGTTGTGACACATACAGTGGAATATTTTTCCCAAGCAGCAGATGGAACTGTATATCCAGAAAAAGCGCAGTGGCAGAGCCAGAGCCCCATTATTGCAAGGTAGCTAATAAATACATTCAAAACTCTCCAAAAATACTAAAAGTGATTATGTACAGGTTATTTCAAAAGGCCAGCAAACTAATCAGAAATCTCACTGAATGAGAAAACTCAGTGAAATATATCATTCACTGTTCAGAAAACTGCAGAAAAGGATGTTAAACTCTGATTAAATTTAACCTGATCACTGTCCTCTGTTTATCTACATTGTGTTGACTTCCAGAGCTTGACAGCTAGACTGATGTTAATTGTTACTTTATGTGCATAGAATAAAAGGGACATTTGATGGCCAGGAACTGTGGCTCACGCCTGTAATCCCAGCAATTTGGGAGGCCAAGGCAGGCGGAATACTTGAGGCCAGGAGTTGGAGATCAGCCTGGCCAACATGGTGAAAACCCGTCTGTATTAAAAACACAAAAATTAGCCAGGCTTGGTGGTGTGTGCCTGTAATCCAGCTACTCCCAGGATGCTGAGGCATGAGAGTCACTTGAACCCAGGAGGTGGAGGTTGCAGTGAGCCAAGATCGCATCACTGCACACCAGCCTGAGTGACAGAGTGAGACTGTCAAAAAAAAAAAATGAAAAAAAAGAGGACATTTCAGAGAGAATATGTGGCCTTTAAAGTATATTTTAGAAGGAACTCGAGACTACAGACAGTTCCATGTTTTAATAGACAAGTTTAACTAACTCCTGTTCTTGAATGACTGAGGTCTGGTCTCTTTGGTAATGCTGAATGCCACCTGTTCTGTAATCATTTTAATCATCAAATTATCACATGGCACTAGTTATGGATGCTACCAGTCTGTAATATGACAGACATTTTAAGGGCCATTTGTTTTTCTATTTGTATTGTACTGAGGAATTAAATTGGAGGAGACATTGATGGTCCAAAGGGGACTAATTTAAGGTAGGGATGGGCTGTCTTGTCTGTAAAACAGTGTTTCCCTAACACCCAAGAACCACTGAGCCCCTCTACCAAATCAAGACAAATATGTTTGTTTTGTAGAATTGCAGGGATAAATGTAAATGTAAAATTTAATTGAAACTATTTTTTTCTTCTTCTAAAAATATGTCTTATTATAAAACTGCAATGTTACACAAACAACTATTTTAAGAAGTGGTTGTTATAAGGATACTTCACACCGAAGGGAAGGTTTTCAAAAAGTTCAGTCTACGATGCAAATTCTCTTCTTAAATCACACCACACAGCTGTGATCTAAGTGTATGTGCTCTTGGCTATAGTTATAATAAATTCCTTGAATAAAATTTCCTTCATAAGAATATCAGTCAAGAAGTAAGAAAACAGACCATGAATTCCACTACATTAGTTTTGTGCTTCCTGCTTTCACACACTGTAGTTTCATGCTTGTCTGAGAACTTTCATAATCATATTTATTTGAAAAGAATTGGTTTTATTATGCATCTAAAATAAAACCAGAGCAGACAAAACAAGAACTTGTAAGAATGATACGCTATCCTTATCATTTAAGCACAAGATGAAATGTACCCCCATTTTAAAGCAAAAAATAGCTATTTTGCTTTTAAATGTACCTCCATTTTAAAGCAAAAAAAATAGTTTTTTTTACAGAAAACTATTTTACAATTATCTTTCCTTTGAAGTGGTAGTTTTACCAATAGTCTTGATCTCAAATCACAAGTCATTTATTTTACCAACGATACTATTGTTAAGTATAACAATTTAAGTAATGCAGGAAAAAAATTAATCAACATTGCATTCCCACTGCTTCAGAGTCTATTTTACAGTGGTGTTTCTAGTTTTTATGGAGCTACCCAGGCTGCAACAAAATTAATTCTTTTAATCATCTCGTACAATATTTACTAAAGGAAAACTATTACATAAAACATATTTTCTGCCTTGAGAATATAAAACTATAGTAATTATATGGTGCATTTACTACACAAAAAGTGTGTATGGTTTAATTAAAAGGAGCAGATCTATTATTTGTTTCAATGGCACTCTACATTTTTAATGCTACTGAATGATAAAATTTTATTTCCAGCTTGTTATGCTATATTCTGTATGGTATTTTTGAATAAGATACAACTGACAACAATTCAGAGTATAGTGACATTACATGACTGAAATTAAGCTCTGTCTAAATAAGCAAACAAGTATGGATTTTAAAAATATAAGAAAAGGAACCCCACTAGTGGTGAGAAAAGTTGAATGAACTGAAATAAAAAACTAGGTAGATGAGCAGCCCTCAGTGACCATCGATGCACAGCAGGTCCACCCTGTAGTGTGCCTCATGGAGGAAACACAGCAGGAATGAGTATCCATCTTTGGGTAGGGAGGGTAGAGGGGAACTCAAAGCCTGTCCAGCTTCCAGACTAAGTGCTAGAGCCATTAATGGGCTTTTTCTTTGTTTTATTTTTGTTTTGTTTTGTTTCATTTTTCATTTTTACCAATTTACTCCTGGACTTAATCAACAGAGAGTCACATGATAGAACTTTTCTAACTTTTAAAACAGAAGGTTTCAATTTCTCAAGCAGCCCCAGGGAGAGACAAAAAAAGCTGTCCCTATTAGGAAATGTGAATAATAAACTGGCTTTTCTTTTCTATTTGTGTATTTTTTTTACACATATAAGCAACAGAAAAATTTGAGAAGGTACTTCGACACAAAAGACAAAAGTAGCTTGAAATTTAATGTATACCTATTTTTATTTTTAATAAATTGCTAATCAATTGTTTGAATATTATGTAAAAAGGAACCAATATTAAGATCAGCGATGGTTTTTTACCCAAATTGAAAAGAACTTAATATGCGATAATTAAAACATAATACAGAGTCAGCATCTATCACTGAGTTATAGAAAAAGCAGGTTTTCTACACAACAGTCTTCATTTATTATCATTAAGGCTTATTGAGGGTGTATTATGCATAAGACATTGGGCTAAAAAGAGATGCCTTGAAGACATAGTGCTTAAGGAGGCTAAAAATCTACTAGAAACCAACTCTTGGACTATTTATAGAGGCAAGCACAGTGTCTATTAAGTACCCTGGCACACTGTGTGGGATTAGGGATAACAGGAACAGAGATAAACAGAAGAAATTAAAATATTGCAGATCTAGAAACACAGGTGGCAGAGGGAAGGAAACAGAAAGGATGGAATTTGATGACTAATTGTGGAGAAAGAAAAAGATTCATGGAAGTAGTACAATAATGGTGTCAATAAAAAGAGCTATAGCTCTTTAATTGTGTATGAGAACATAAGCTCAAGTAGACAGAGATTTTGTCTATATTTTTGATTGCTGGGCCCTCAGTTTTTAGAACAATGACTGACATATTGTAGGTGTCCAATAAATTTGTTGGATGATTTAAAATGTGCCAAATGGCTTATGTACATCATGTTTAACCCTCATAACTCTTCTGTAAAGTTGTTAATTGTATTCCCAATATTTAATTAAACTAAGACAGTGTTAAAGACCATGCTAAAGTCACGCATATAGCTATCATTAAAATACAAGTTTTTCTATCTGTCATGGTGGTCTTTCTTCTGCCACATAAGGTAATTTACTGGGAATGATACATTGAATTAGAAGGCAGATCTCTAGGCCTTACTCTGTTGGGTGACCTTGAGTAAATTAGTTAGTTTTTCTGTGGAACCACTCCAGTTGTAGAGAGAGGACTGTATCTATCTGTACAAACAAATCTAGATGGCATAGTCTACTAGAGTTAGGCTATATGATATAGCCTGTTGCTACTAGGCTACAAACCTATACAGTACATGTGTACCCATACTGAATACTGTAAGGCAATTATAACATGACGGCAAGTATTTTTATATCTAAACATATCTAAACATAGAAAATGTCCAATAAAAATACAGGATAAAATATAAAAAATGATACACCTGTATAGAGCACTTACCATGAATGGAGCTTGCAGGACTAGAAGTTGCTCTTAGTGAGTGAGTGGTGAGTGAATGTGAAGGAGTAGGACGTTATTGTCTACTACTGTAGACTTTAAAAACAATGTATATTTAACTAAATTTATATATTTCATTTCTTCAATAATAAGTTAATCTTAGCTTCCTGTTATTTTTTACTTTATAAACTTTTAACTTTTTGACATTTTTGTAAAAACACTTAGCTTGTAACACACATTGTACAGCTATAGAAAACTATTTTCTTTCTTTATATCCTTATTCTATAAGCTTTCTCCTATTTTTTAATATTTTACTTTTTAAACTTTTTTATAAACTAAGACACAAACACACACGTCAGTGTAGGCCTATTGAGGGTCAGGATCATCAATATTACTCTTTCACCTCCACATCATGTCCCACTGCTAAGTCTTCAGAGGCAGTTACACACATGGAGCTGTCATTTCCTATAACAATGCCTTCCTCTGGAATACCTTGAGAAGGGTCTACCTGAGGCTGTTTTACAGTAAACTTTTTTTTTTATAACTAGAAGTATGCCATAAAATAACAAACATATAGTGTGGTAAATACATAAACCAGTAATATAGTCATTTATTATCAAGCATTATGTACTGTACATAATTATATTGCTATTTTTTTGAAGACTAGCAGTACAATAGGTTTGTTTACATCAGTATAACCACAAGAATGGGATGAATGAGTCGCACTAGGACAACATAACATAATGTAACAATGACTGGGACATCACTAGGCAATATGAAATTTTCAGCTTCATTATCTTATGGGACCACCACTGTATATGCAGTCTGTTACTGAAATGTCTTTATGTAGTGCATGACTATAT